>NW_021160005.1:0-217075 GCF_000001405.40 Homo sapiens | reverse complement strand
CGAAACGTGGCCACGCCCTCCCTTCCTTCCCCTCCTGCCTGCTTTTCCCTTTAAATACTGAAGCCCTCAAAACCACCTTTGGAGGAAGGCACAGGCCTGTCTTCCAGGCACACATCCTTAACCTTGGCAAAATCAACTTCTAAATAAATTGAGACCTGTCTCAGACACTTTTTGGTTTACAATTATTTCATGTTGAAAACTGGAGGAACTGAAAACTGGAGAAATGATGCCTGGGAACCATGACCAGTAGTTTCAGAAAGGGTGAGGTGACCTGTCACTTCCTGCATGCAGGTAGCATAAGGATGCCTCTGGGAGGGGTCCCCTCTCTGTGCCAGGGCAAGAAAGCAGCCCTTATCACCAGAGACTGGACATCGGGGGCTGCAATGGGCCTGAATAAACATAGATAATGCAGTAGCCCTCATCTTCCACCTACTTTACATGCCCCTGTACGTCTCCAAGTGACTCCCCCAGAAAATTGACTGCCCCAGCTAGATTTTCTTTGTCCTGTCGTTTCTTCTCAAATTTATTACTCTTTGCCTAAAAAACATAAAAGCATCTTTGTATTCTCGGGTGGGTCTGAAAAAAAAAAGAAAGAAGGAAAAAGGAGGCTGGGCACAGTGGCTCAGGCCTGTAATCCCAGCACTTTCGGAGGCCAAGGCGGGTGGTACACCTGAGGTCAGGAGTTCAAGACCAGCCTGGCCAACATGGCGAATCCCCGTCTCCACTACAAAAACACACAAACAAGTTAGCTGGGCGTGGTGGCACACACCTGTAATCCCAGCTACTCGGGGGACTGAGGCAAGAGAATCACTTGAACCTGGGAGGCGGAGGTTGCAGGGAGCCAAGTCGCACCACTGCACTCCAGCCTGGGGGACAGATCAAGACTCCATCTCAAAAAAAAAAAAGAAAAGAAAAAAGAAAAGGACAAAAATAAAGTAAAAGCATCTCGCTTGGGCTACATCTCCAGGCTTCCCTCCTTTGTGAAGATCCCCACAAGCATTCAAAACTCATACAGCATGTGTGCTTTTCTCCTGCTCATCTGCCTGGTGTTGATTTAGTTTCTAAAGCTGGCTGAAGAGCCCACTAACAGCTAAAGACGGGCAGGAGGTGACCTCTGGCTCCCCTGCAGTGCTTTCTAAACTATGCCAAAAGGTAGTAGCCTAAAACAGCCCTAAATGTGTATTATTTTCTGCTGTTTCTGAGGGTCAGGAAGTGGGGAGAAGCTTACCTGGGTGGTTTCGGCTTAGGGTCTCATGAGATTTCAGCTGAGATGAAAAACAGAAAGTCATGATTCATGAGAGTGAGGCTGGCTGACTTTCTCATGAGAGAGGACGTGGAGGGGATGGAGGAGATTGCTGGGGATGGAGGATTTGTTTCCAAAGCGGCTTGCTCACCAGGATACTGGCAGGGGGCCTCAGTTCCTCACCACACTGACCTCTCCATACAGCTGCTTGAGTGTCCTCATGACAGGGCGCTGGCTTCTCGAGGAGCTAATGATCTAAAACAATAAGGCAGGCCAGGGGAGGTGGTTCACGCCTGTGATCCCAGCACTTTGGGAGGCCGAGGTGGGCAGATCGCTTGAGCCCAGGAGTTTGAGACCAGCCGAGGCAACACAGTGAAACGCCATTTCTACAAAAAATACAAAAATTAGCCAGGCATGGTGGCACATACCTGTGGTCCCAGCTACTTGGGAGACTAAGGCAGGAGAATCACTTGAGCTCAGGAGGTGGAGGTTGCATTGAGCTGAGATTATGCCATTGCACTCTAGCCTGGGTGACAGAGTGAGACCCTGTCTCAAAAAAAAAAAAAAAATCATCTACAAAAAAATCCCACAGGTAACACATACGTTAAGGGTGAAAGATTGCATGCTTTCTTCCTAAGAATGATAACAAATGTGTTCACTCTCACCACTCTTACTCAACACAGTGCTAGGGTTCTAGCCACTGGAATAAGGCAAGAAAAGAAATAAAAGATCAGAAAGATACACACTGAAAAGGAAGAACTGAAACCCCCTGTTTGCAGATGACATGATTGTCTATGTAGAAAATCCCAAGGAATCCACCAAAAAACTTTCTAGAAAACTTGCTACAAAAAAAAAAAAAAAAAAAAAAAAAAAAAAAAAAAAGGCCAGGCAAGGGGGCTCACACCAGTAATCCCAGCATTTTGGGAGACCAAGAAGGGAGGATCACTTAAGTCCAGGAATTTGAGACCAGCCTGGGCAACATAGGGAGACCCCCATCTCTATAAAATTTTATTTTTATTCTATGTTTTAAAATTATTATTTTGAGACAGAGTCTCACTCTGTCACCCAGGCTGGAGTACAGTGGCATGATCTCAGCACACTGCAACCTCTGCCTCCCAGGTTCAAGCAATTCTTCTGCCTCAGCCTCCCGAGTAGCTGGAACTACAGGTGTGCACCACTACAGTCAGCTAATTTTTGTATTTTTAGTAGAGACAGGGTTTCACCATGTTGGCCAGGCCAGTCTCAAACTCCTGACCTCAGGTGATCTACCCACCTTGGCCTCCCAACATGCTGAGATTACAGGTGTGAGCCACTCCACCTGGCCCCCAAATTTTATTTTTTTAATTAGCCAGGTCTGGTGGCTCACACCTGTAGTCCCAGCTGCTTGGGAAGTTGAAGTGGGAGGATCGCTTCAGCCTAGGAGGTCGAGGCTGCGTTGAGCTGTGATTGTGCCACTGCACTTTAGCCTGGGTGACAGAGCAAGACCCGTCCCAAAAAACAAAAAACAAACAAAAAAAAAACCTAAAAATGACACATACCGAAGGTGTTGAATGAGAAAAAAAAAAGTAAATAAGTAAATTTAAATGATACTAAAATCTCAGCCCCTGGAAGAGCACAGTGGGCAGACCCTCCATCCTTGTGGGCTCTTCGTTGGCACCACATGGGTTTCCTGCACGCAGCCCTGCCTCATCAATGTCACTCTCTGGATGAGCTGGACTAGTGCAGTGACACGGAACAGGCAGGAGGTGGGGATCACCAAGTGCTGGGAGTCAGGAGCTTGCTGGGCACTCCTCAGCCCCAGAACCCACAGGGAGTTCCCATGGGACGTCAGTGTTGTACTTCTCAGGAGCAAAGTCCTTAAAGATGAGTATCATCAATAAAATTAAATTTTTAGGCCGGGCACGGTGGCTCACGCCTGTAATCCCAGCACTTTGGGAGGCTGAGGCAGGCAGATCATGAGGTCAGGAGATCAAGACCATCCTGGCTAACACGGTGAAACCCCGTCTCTACTAAAAATACAAAAAATTAGCCGGGTGTGGTTGCAGGCGCCTGTAGTCCCAGCTACTCGGGAAGCTGAGGCAGGAGAATGGCCTGAACCTGGGAGGCGGAGCTTGCAGTGAGCCAAGATTGTGCCACTGCACTCCAGCCTGGGCAACAGAGCGAGACTGTCTAAAATTAAAAAAAAATAATAATAACAAATTTTTAGAATTTAATCCTTTGTATTTCAAGAGTTACTACCCATTCACTTTGTGTATGCTATAGAAAAAAAGGGGTCCTCATATTTCATTTACTGAAAGCAAAAAAAAACAAAAAACCCAGGCTGGTGCAGTGACTCACGTCTGTAATCGTAGCACTTTGGGAGGCGGAGGTGGGTGGATCACTTGCAGTCAGGAGTTCAAGACCAGCCTGGCCAACATGGTAAAACCCCGTCTCTACTAAAAATACAAAAATAAGCCATTGTGGTGAGCACCTGAAATCCCAGCTACTCAAGAGGCTGAGGTGGCCGGGCGCCATGGCTCGTGCCTGTAATCCCAGCACTTTGGGAGGCTGAGGTGGGCAGATCACAAGGTCAGAAGATCAAGACCATCCTGGTTAACATGGTGAAACCCCGTTTCTACTAAAAAAACACACACAAAAAATAAGCCGGGCATGGTGGTGGGCACCTGTAGTCCCAGCTACTCGGGAGGCTGAGGCAGGAGAATGGCGTGAACCTGGGAGGCGGAGCTTGCAGTGAGCCGAGATCGCGCCACCGCACTCCAACCTGGGAGACACAGTGAGACTCCGTCTCAAAAACAAACAAACAAACAAACAAACAAACAAACAAAAAAAAACCTCTGCATCAGTTTTTTTTTTTTTTTTTTTTAAAGAGACAGGGTCTCTTAAGTGATCCTCTCCCCTAAGCCTCTCAAATAGCTGGGGCTACAGGCGCACACCACCACACCCAGCTATTTTTTTTTATTTTCTGTAGAGACGAGGTCTTGCTATGTTGCCCAGACTGGTCTTGAACTCCAGGCCTCAAGCAATCCTCCTGTGTCAGCCTCCCAAGGTGCTGGGAGAACAGATATGAGCCACCATGCCCAGCCACTATTTCTAAAAAACCATCTTTCACTTGGTGAGAGTGTGGGACGGAAGTGGATGCGAGTCCTGGTCACGGTGAAGTTCTGACCTTTCCTTTGTCACAGAGCACATGAATGCTTGGATAGCCACAGCTGGCCACATGCGAAGCAACTCCCGAGGATATTGAAATTATAACCAAACAGGACTGCCCAGTGCAAGGGGAGAGGGCCCTGGTGCTTTGCCTGCCTGTTGGGTATCTCCCCTCCACTAAGACCACCTTGGCTTTCCTTTGTGGGAGCCCCTCCCCTGCACACAGCCCCCAGTTCTAGGGATGGCCCATGTGACCTGGCCTGGCTAGTATCTTCCATCCCTGGCTATACGGATTGGTTCAGGAATGGGTGCATGACCAAAGTCAAACCAATAAGTCCAAATCCAGAGATCTGCACTGGAACAACTGGGCTGGAGAAGGGCTCTCGCTGATGGGGTCCCATGCTATGTACCACTAGGCATTGCCCGTCCCTTCATGAGGAGACTCTGCCTTAAAATGAAGTGACACAGGGCAAAACAGACCCAGGAAATAGAGAGACCAAGGCCCGAGAACACAGCAGAGATCCTGGATCCAACCCTACCTGAAGGTAGAGGTACCTCTGGCCTTCCAATACACAAGCCAACAAATTCCCTTCTTTGCCTCAGCCAGTTTGATTGCAACTTTTATCACTCATTTTCTATCTGATGCAAGAAGTTAAACCTTCTCTGGTGTGGGTCAATCTGAGGCTCCCAGGATGTTCACAGAAAAGGTACAGTGAATTAAAGGAGAGACAGAATGCTATCACAGCTGGCCCACATAACTACAAGGCCTCTGAGAGACCCAGCTTAGCTGCTGCTTGTTTAGATAACACAGACATCCATTTTTAGGGTTGTATTGCAGCACCGGCCTTGGTTATTCTCCTGAATATGCAGATCCCCACTTACTGCTGGAAGGCTAAAAAAGTCACGTGTGCTCTTCACCCCCACTCCCTCACCTTGCCAAGTCCTGAGTCCTGGTTACACCAGAAAAATCACACGGCCATACAAACTAATGCCACTATAAATGTATAATCTATTCCTGGAATTAATAAGCAATTATACCAAGGTTGCAGGATACAAAGTTAATGTACAAAAGCCATTTGCTTTCCCAAATACCAGCAATGAACAAGTATAGACTGAAATTTCAGTCAGTTTTAGCACAACACAGTCGATAGGTTCCTGGAAACTGACTTTAAGTGAAATAATGGTCTGTATAACAAAACTAATTTACCATAGACTAACTCATATGAACAAGAGTTAAGTTCTTACAGCATACAGTAAGTAATTTTGCTTAAAGTCAGTTTCCAAGAAGCTATCAAGGACATTAAGTGAGGATTTATTGTATAAATGCATGATCTCAAACAGCAGCATGGCCCCCCTCATTCCTAGTATAATATCCCCTCAGATCCTGCAGAAGCCCCTGAATAAAGCTGTCACCAGTTTTTGTGTCCTCTAAATCTTTGTCCACATCAGTGACAGAATGATCCTTCCAAAATACAGATCGGGTCACTTCTTTGCTTAAAATTCAGTAACTCCTCACTGCATTTAAAATGAAATCCAATTGTCTTGAGATGACCTATGAACCTTTCTGATCTGCCCCTGCCTGTGTCTCTATTCTCCACATGTGCCGGATGCTTCAGCTGCATCGAAGCCCTTGATCACACACACTCACACACACACACACACACACACAGTCTCAGCCTTGCCTCTCCTGCTACTCAGACTTCCCTGTTTCTCTTGGTTTACTTGAACTTGTTCTTTCAGACTCAGCTCACTCCTGACCTTCTCCCAGAATCTTCCCCTGAATCCACCCTCCTTCCTCTGAGTGACCCTGGCCTCTGTACCTTTCATGTAGTATCAAAATTGTCTGTTTTTCACTACATCACAAACTTCAAGACTGAATCATTCTCTATTTGCTTTTTTAAAAATTAACCATTTTAAGTGCACAATTCAGCAGCATTTAGTACATTTACAGTGTGTGCAACCACTTCCTCTATTTAGTTCCAGAACATTTCTATCACCCTTAAAAGGAAACCCTGTACCCATTAGCAGTCATTCCCCACTCCCTTCTTCTCCCAGCCCCTGACAACCACGAGTCTGATTTCTGTCTCTGGATTTACTGAGATTGTCTCTTTTATCCTTCCATCACCAATTCTTAAGCAAAGAGGTGGGAGTGGGAAATCCAGTTTGTACAATGAGAGGGCAACCAAGCTGTCCTGAGTTAGTGGCCCCACCTAGTGGCTAGTGTGGGAAATGTCAGTCAATCTCTCTTCCCCATCTCAGGTCGCTCCAGCCCCCTTGGGGATCCTGATCCAGCAAGCCTTCTGTATTTTCTTGCACCAGTCATTAATCTCCTTTAGGCAAAATCTTGCTCAAATATCACACAACTTCTTTTTCCCCACCCAGATCAGATGACTAAACAAATTATGTCAATATCACTCTTCGACCACGGACAGATTTTTCACTCTCCCACCCTTTCCCTGAGGTCATATCCCTTTCAGGACCAAGCCTTATTCAGGTACCCTTTCCAAATGCGCACTCCTGCCCCCACACATCTGTTAAACCCCAAGGCTCAAAGTTCTAGTATATTGTTACTGTTTGACATCCAGAAAAATGCCTGGATGGTCTCACGGTGATCAAGACTTCAGGGCTGGCCTTCCATTCTGTGTTCTTGCTTCCTCTTTCCTTTGTCCCCCTGAAGATTTTCTTGATCTTTTTGCAAGCTCAACTTTACATTTAAAAGATACCTATTACAATTTATCTACCATTTTTGGTGTTGTATGGCAAAAGAGTTTTCATAATGTCTAGTTAAAAATACTTCCAGAACTGAAAGTCCTTGTTTGAGTTTTCACCATGAGCATGTAATGAATCACTTGTGTATTTGTAAGAAAGGAAGCAAACAGAAAATTAAATGAGAGGAGGAGGGAAAGAGGGGCCCATTCTTTGGAAGCAGAATTAAAGATAAAGCAACAAAAATAATATGCATTTTGATATCTTAGATTGGCAAAGAGGTTTTTCTTTTTGAGATGGGGTCTTGCTGTGTCACCCAGGTTGGAGTGCAGTGGCATGATCACAGCTGACTGCAGCCTTGACCACCTGGGCCCAAGTGATTCTCCCACCTTAGCCTACCAAGTAGCTGGGACCACAGCACACACCACTATGCCCAGCTTAATTTATTACTATTATTATTATTCATAGAGATGGGGTCATACTACATTGCCCAGGCTGGTCTTGAATCCCTGGGCTCAAGTGATCCTCCTACCTTGGCCTCTCAAAGTACTGGGATTACAGGTGTAAACCACCATGCTCAGCCTAAAATTTTTATACCTGAATTCTGCAAAAATAAGAAGAAACATGCTCTCACATGTAAATGAGTGCCAAACATGCTAGAGGGAAATTTTGTACTCACTGACTCAGTGGATCAATTGGGATTCGTACTTGGACTCATAATAGAGACTAGAAATAACAATGGTTTAGATAAAATAGAAGCTTTACTTCTCCATCTCACTTTTTAAAAAGATCCTAAAGCAAGTTGGGTGTGGTGGCTCATGTCTGTAATCCCAGCACTTTGGGAGGCCAAAGTGGGAGAATCGCTTGAGCCCAGTTCAAGACGAGCCTGAGCAACATAGCAAGCCCCATCTTTGCAAATAATAATGAAAACAAAAAAATCTGGGCATGGTGGCACACACCTGTGGTCCCATCTACTCGAGAAGCTGAGGTGGGAGAATGGCTTGAGCCCTCGCCACTGCATTCCAGCTTTGGTGACAGAACAAGACCATGTCTCAAAGGAAAAAAAAAGTCCTAAAGCAGGCAAGACCAGTGCGGCAGCTCCATGATGCAAACATGAATCTAAAATCTTTCAGGATGCCTCATGGTCAAAAATGGCTGGCAGAGCTCCAGCCATCAGCCATCACACCCACACTCCAGAGAATAGAAGGGAGAAATGGGAAGAGTGGTGAGATCAAAGGATACTCCAGCTGTCTGTCCTTCTAATGACCAGTCCCAGAAATCCTCCACAATTGAGCTTTGCTTCCAGAACAGTCACAGAGCTAAATCAGATGACAAGTGACAGACAACTGTAGTCTTTCAACCGCATTGCAATGCTGAAGAAACTTGGGACTGTAACAAAGAGGAGAGCAGGGAAGGCATATTGGTTATTAGTGTCACACTGGGCAATCCCACTGCTGAATATTCACCCTCCAGACTCAGGCGCACAAGTGTGCATTGAGTCTCAGGACAGGACAGCGCTGTGGTAACAGAAAGATGCGGAAAGCCAGTAAATGTCCCTTGATGGGGCTGACCTGACCTTCACACACAAATGAGATTCTCTGCAGAGGGTACAAAAAGAATGAGACAGAGAAAGATGGACAAGCTGGGCGTGGTGGCTCACACCTGTAATCCCAGCACTCTGGGAGGCCGAGGCGGGTGGATCACCTGAGGTCAGGAGTTCGAGGCCAGTCTAGCCAACATGAAACCCTGTCTCTACTAAAAATACAAAAAGTTAGCCAGGTGTGGTGGCAGGTGCCTGTAATTCCAGCTACTTGGGAGGCTGAGGCAGGAGAATCGCTTGAACCCAGGAGACAGAGGTTGCGGTGAGCTGAGATGACGCCATTGCACTCCAGCCTGGGCAACAAGAGCAAAACTCCATCTCAAAAAAAAAAAAAAAAAAGAGAGAGAAAGATGGGCAAAATATATCACATTGATAAAGCACGTTGTAGAAGGTGAAGTACAGTATGATCCCTTTGTATATAAAAAGGGATTTCTGTACTATACATACATGCTCCTATATGCAGAGAAAATTTATAAAATTACCCATAAATTATTGACAAAGTCGCCTCTAGGAAGGGAGAAAAAAGAGGAAGAAGGCTTTATTTTTTTCAAGTTACACTGATCTGTACTGTCTGGATTGCTTTTGAACTCATATATATATATATATTTTTTTTTTTCTTTTCTTTTCTTTTTTGAGATGGAGTTTTGCTCTTGTTGCCCAGGCTAGAGTGCAATGGTGTGATCTAGGCTCACCACCTCTGCCTCCCGGGTTCAAGCGATTCTCCAGCCTCAGCCTCCTGAGTAGTTGGGATTACAGGGGCCCACCACCACGCCTGGCTAGTTTTGTATTTTTAGTAGAGATGGGGTTTCTCCATGTTGATCAGGCTGGTCTCAAACTCCCAACCTCAGGTTATGCGCCCGCCTCGGCCTCCCAAAGTACTGGGATTACAGGCGTGAGCCACCACACCCGGCTTGAACTCATATTTTTATATTAAATATGTTCAGTCAGAAAAGTAACAGTAAAATAAATAAAAAGGTCTGACAATTGCTTAGAGGCCTCCCTCAGACTGTGCCACACCCTCCTGCTCCCCCATCCCAGGCTCTGAAGGTGCAACACTCAAGAGAAATGCAGCTTCTGAATTACTTTCTTTGGTTGTAATTGCTGGGGCTGGAATGATGGCTTTGAGAAATATTCTTGCATTCCTTTAGGGCTAGTGTACCTCCCATTTTCCCTGGAGCCTGCTCCCACCAGCTTTCCCCTCCCTCTGCTGCGCCAGCCTCCTGCTCAAGGTCCCCGTGACCCCCATGCTGGAGCAGCGGTCAGATCTATCTTCATCTCCCCTGTGTCCGCCACAGCCTCTGACACCGCGGCTGCACTTCCTCTTTGGGATGCCCTGGCCACCAGCTCCTAGGACCCCATCATCCTATCACTGCCTGTTGTTTCTGGGTCTTCTTTAGGGGTCTCTTCTCTTCTCCCTGACCTCTAAATCCTGGGATGCCCCGGGTTTCACCCTTGGCCATCTTCCCAGTCTGCAAATACCCACATCTAGGGGTTTAATCCAATCCATGGGTCTAACTCATGCTTACAATTCTAACACTTACATTCCCAGTTGGGTCTCATCCCTGAACCCCACACGGAATTCCAGCAGGTGCTTGGATGTCTAACGGGCAGTCAAGGAACCTCCCTCAGTCCTTCCCGTTTCAATAAAAGGCAACTCCATACTTCCTGCTGCAGGCACCAAAAACCTTGGAATCATCCTGACTCCTTTCTTTTCCTCTTGCTGTGTCTAATCTGCTAGCAATTCTCGCTGGGTCTATCGTTAAAGCACAGCCAAATGCTAAGGCCCGCGTATCCCGCTCCGCTGATGCCACCCCTGTCTACGCCTCCACACCTCTTGCCTGGGTTACTGAACTGACCTCTTAACTGGGGTTCCTTCCTCCTCCTGTGCCCCCCTAAAGATCTTCTGAACACAAATTCATCTCCCTGCTTGGTTGTGAACCCTGGAGTGGCTCCCATTTCACTCAGGGTCAGGCTGAAGTCCGCACCGCACAGTGTATAGTGTTCGCATTAGACAATGAATGAAATCCGTTTCAGTGAGCTGGTCTGGAAACCAAACCATTGCTTAGACTGTTGTTTCTATGGGAAGATGAATTCTGAGCCCTGCACCGCAGATTAATTAAACCACATCAAAATTCTAAAATTCTGCAGGAAAAAAAATCCTACCGTAAACAAAGTGAAAGACAAATGGAAAAATAGGGGAGAAAGGTAGGCAAATCTTATAAATATACAGCACATAGAGAAAAACAAATCTTTCCTAAACAAATGTAAAGCTGTTACTCTCTCATAGTGAGAGGTACATTAAACCGACAATATGAGACCACCTCAACCTATTGGCAAAGGTTTTTTTTTTGTTTTTTGTTTTTTTTTTCTTAAATTTATGAGACGGAGTCTCACTCTGTCGCCCAGGCTGGAGTGCAGTGGCACGATCTCAACTCACTGCAAGCTCCACCTTCTGGGTTCACACCATTCTCCCGTCTCAGCCTCCCGAGTAGCTGGAACTACAGGCGCCTGCCACACCAGGCTAATTTTTTGTTTTTGTATTTTTAGTAGAGACGGGGTTTCACAGTGTTAGCCAGGATGGTCTTGATCTCCTGACCTCGTGATCCCCCCCCGCCCCACCTCGGCCTCCCAAAGTGCTTCGGTTACAGGTGTGAGCCACTGTGCCCGGCGTATTGGCAAAGCTTTTTTTTTAACCTGCTAATGATCAGTGCCAGCCGTGGTGCAGAAGGCAGGCAAGCTGGTTCTCCCCATGGCAGGCAGTTGTCAGTTTCCACCCAAATGTACAAGAACCAAGAACTGAATCACATGCCCAGGGTGACAAGGCAGGAAGCGTGGGGCCAGGATTTGAACTCAGGCTGACTCCTGGGCTGAGTCTCCTGGTCATCTTTCCTGAAACCAAACCCTATTCATGGCTCTCTGCTCTGGCAAGCTGTTGGGTACAAGACCCACCATGAGGGGGACAGAAGGGTGGGGACCCCGGCTCTCAGAGTTGCTCAACCGAGAGGCAGAGAGCTTTAATTGAAAAGCAACACGTATCACACTAATGCTGCTGACTGGCTCGGCTCACTCGTTCCTTCGCTCAATCAGCTGCAGATCATTCATCAAGCACCTTCTGGGCTCCCGGGACTGACCTTGCAGGGGAGGGGAAGAGAAAATAAAGACCCTGTGCAGAATGCCCAGGCAGACATCACAGTATACGGACCTCGTGGGGATGGTGGCCTGGGCTCCTGCGGCTGCCGGCGCAGATGACCAGGCTCGGTGGCCTCAAACAACACAAACGTCTCCCCTTAACAGAGCTGCAGGCCGGAAATCTGACCAGGTCTGCTGAGCTGAAGTTAGGGCGTCCGCGGGGCTTCCTTCCTGCTGGAGGCTCCCGGGGTGTCCACTTCCTTGCCCGGCTTCCAGAGGCTGTGGTGCTCCTTGGATCCTGGCCCCTGCCTCTTCCACCTGTAGGGACTCTTCAGATTGCACTGGGCTCACTCAGATGATTGAAAGGAATCTGCCTTAAAAAAAAAATGTGGTAAAATATTCAAAGCGTAAGAATCACGATTTTAACCGTGTTTCCATGAACAGTTCGTTGACTTGCAGCACAGTGACACTGTCGCGCTGCCGTCGCCGCCGTCCAGCTCCAGAACGCCCGCAGCTTCCGCTAGAGTTCGCGAGGGTTTGTCTGACTCCTCCAAACCTCAGTTGGAACTGATCCCATATATCGAAGGTGAGGCCTAAGGAAGTTCTTGGGTCATGGGCACGAATCCCTCGTGAATAGATTAATACCCTACCCAGGGGCGGGAGGGAGTTGTTGGTTTTTTCCAGAGCTGGTTGTTCAAGAGCCTGCACCTGCCCCCCTTGCTTCCTCTCCCCCACGTGATCTGAGCACACGTGGGCTCCCCTTCCCCTCCCCCATGAGTGGAAGCAGCTGAGGCCTCCCCCAGGAGCAGACATGGGCATCATGCTCCCTGTACAGCCTGCAGAACCCTGAGCCAAATCTCTTTTCTTTAGAAATCAGCCAGCCTTGGCTGGGTGCGGTGACTCATGCCTGTAATCCCAGCACTTTGGGAGGCCAAGACGGGTGGATCACCTGAGGTCAGGAGTTCCAGACCAGCCTGGTCAACGTAGTGAAACCCCGTCTCTACTAAAAATACAAAAAAATTAGCTGGGAGTGGCAGCAGGTGCCTGTAATCCCAGCTACTCGGGAGGCTGAGGCAGAAGAATCGCATGAACCCAGGAGACAGAGGTTGCAGTGAGCCGAGATTGCACCATTGCACTCCAGCCTGAGCAACAAGAGTGAAACTCTGTCTCAGAAAAAAAAAAAAGAAAAGAAGTTACCCAGCCTCAGGTATTCCTTTATAGCAACACAAAGAGACTAAGGTATATTCCCAAATGGAAACTCTGTGCCTATTAAACGTTAGCTCCACACCCCCCACCCCGCCCGCCAGGCCCTGGCAGCCACCATTCTCTGTCTCTGTGAATTTGACTGCTCTAGGGACCTCACGAGTGGGATCATACTGCATTTGTCTTTTTGTGACTGGCTTCTTTCACTTAGCATAACATCTTCAGGTTCATCTGTGTTGTAGCATGTCAGGATTTCTTTTAAGAGACAGGGTCTCACTCTGTTGCCCAGTGCGGTGGCGGGACTATATAGCTCACTGTAACCTTGAACTCCTGGGCTCAAGGGATCCTCCCACCTCAGCCTCCTGAATAGCTAGGACTGTCCTTCCTTTCAAAGGCTGAATAATATTCCACCGTCTGTATTTATGTATTTACATTTTATTTACCCACTTTCCCACAGATGGACAGTGAGTTGCTTCCACCTTTTGGCCAGAGAATAATGCTGCTGCTATGAATATGGGTGTAGAAATATTTCTTTGAGACCTTGTTTTCAACTATTTGGGGTATATACCCAGAAGACATATTGCTGGATCATATGGTACTTTTTTTTTTTAATAGGATTTGCTATACTGTTCACAGCATCTGCCACATTTTACCTTCTCACCAACGGTGCATGAGGGGCTCAATTTCCCCACATCCTCGCCAACTCTTGTGACCATCTTCTTCATGGTAGTCACCCTCATGGGTGTGAGATGTTACTGCAATGTCTTGGCTCTGTCCCCCAGGCTGGAGTGGGGTGATACAATCATAGCTCACAGCAGCCTTGACCTCCTGGGCTCAAGCAATCCTCCTGCCTCAGCCTCCTGAGTAGCTGGGACTTCAAGCGGGTCCCACCACACTCAGCTAATTTTTAATTTTTTGTAGAAACAAAGTCTCCCTATGTTGCCCAGGCTGGTTTCAAACTTCTGGGCTCCAGTGATCCTCCTGCCTCAGCCTCCCAAATAGCTGGGATTACAGGTGTGAGCTGCCCTGCCCAGCCTCCATGTGGTTTTTGTTGTTGTTTTTTTTTTTTTTTTTTTTTTAGACGGAGTCTTGCTCTGTTGCCCAGGCTGGAGTGCAGTGGCACGATCTCGGCTCACTGCAAGCTCCACCTCCTGGGTTCACGCCATTCTCCTGCCTCAGCCTCCTGAGTAGCTGGGACTACAGGCGCCCGCCACCATGCCCGGCTAATTTTTTTGTATTTTTAGTAGAGACGTGGTTTCACCGTGTTTGCCAGGATGGTCTCGATCTCCTGAACTCGTGATCCGCCCGCCTTGGCCTCCCAAAGTGCTGGGATTAGAGGCGTGAGCCGCCGTGCCCAGCCTCCATGTGGTTTTGATTTGCATTTCACTAATGATGGGTGATGCTGGGAATCCTTTCTCCTGCTCGTTTTCCATCTGTGTATCTTCTTTGAGACATCTATTCAAATCCTTTGCCCGTTTTTAAATGCTTTGGGTTTGTTGTTTAGCTGTAGTTCCTTAAATATTCTGGACATTACCCCCTTATCAGACGTATGACTTGCAAATATTTCTTCCCATTCTCTAGGTTCCCTTTTCATTGTTATGTCCTTCAATGCTGTTTTTTAAATGACAATCAACTTACCTTTTTTTTTTTTTTTTTTTTTTTGAGATGGAGTCCTGCTCTGTCACTCAGGCTGGAGTGCAGTGGCGTGATCTCGGCTCACTGTAACCTCCGCCTCCCAGGTTCAAGCGATTCTCGTGCCTCAGCCTCCCAAGTAGCTGAGACTATAGGCACGTGCCACCACGCCTGGCTAATTTTTGTATTTTTAGTAGAGACAGGTTTTGCCATGTTGGCCAGGCTGGTCTCAAACTCCTGACCTCAAGTGATCCGCTCGCCTCGGCTTCCCAAAGTGCTGGGATTACAGGCGTGAGTCACCACGCTCGGCCCAACTTAGCTATTTTTCCTTTCGTTGTCTGTGCTTTTGGTTGCGTATCTAAGAAATCATTGCCAAATCATGAATGTCATGAAGCTTTCCCCGTTTACTTCTAAGAGTTTTATAGATTTAGGTCTTGTGTTTAGGTCTTTAATCCATTTTCAGTTAATTTTTCTGTCTGGTGAAAGGTAAGGGACCAACATCACTCTTTCGCATGTGAATTTCACTTTCCCAGTGCCATGTGCTGAAAAGATAATCTCCCAATTTGAAGGCCAGCTGATTAGAAACATTAATTCCATCTGCTACCTAATTCTCCTTGGCCATGCGGGGT
Source organism: Homo sapiens (assembly GCF_000001405.40). Taxonomy (NCBI): domain Eukaryota; kingdom Metazoa; phylum Chordata; class Mammalia; order Primates; family Hominidae; genus Homo; species Homo sapiens. The sequence continues at coordinate 201,786 of NW_021160005.1, read as the reverse complement.
AACATCATCACAGGTTCTGGGGATTAGGATCTAGACATCTTTGGGAGGCCAGGATTCTGCCCACCAGAGGGAGATTGGGCCTGCAGGGACTCACGTGCATCTCATTCACACAACCTACTCAGGAGAACACAACTGACCTTTGAACAAGGGTGTGAACTGTGAGCGTCCACTTATACGCATATTTTTTCAATCAAACATATAAAAAATACAGTATTCGGGCTGGGCATAGTGGTTTATACTTGTAATCCCAGCACTTCCGGAGGCTGAGGCAGGAGGATGGCTTGAGGCCAGGAGTTCAAGACCAGCCTGGGTAACATAGTGAGATGCCGTCTCTACAAAGACCTAAAAAAAAAAAATTAGCCAGGCATGGCAGGTGTGCACCTGTGGTCCCAGCTACTCAGAAGGCTGAGGTAGGAAATTGCTTGAGTGAGGGAGGTGGAAGCTGCTGTGAGCTATGATGGTGTCACTCCACTGCACTCCAGCCTGAGTGACAGGGACCCTGTCTCAAAAACAACAAACAATATAGTATTCACAGAATGCAAAGCCTGCACACACAAGGCCAACTTTTCATAGATGTGGGTTCTGCAGGGGACTGGGGGACTTGAGTATGTGCAGATTTGGGTACAGGAGGGAGGTCCTGGGCCCAATCCCCTGCAGGTACCGAGGGACAGCTCTATTCCTAGGTAATAGCAGGAGGTGTAATTCACAGAAAATATGAACAAACATTAAATCCAGAGATAGCTAAGTTGGGCCGAGCTGACAGCTCACAAATGACAACGGAGCTGTCTCAAATGGTTTTTAATCGAAGAAGCACTATTATAACAATGACAGTAGGTAGGAAAAAAAAGCACCTTATCACACAACATAGAATTCTTTGACTATGTTGCTGTCTGTGTGCATTTTCACAATCATCATCAAAAGCAGAGCTCGTCTTCCCATGGGAGGTCAAACAGGTCAGAAGAAATAATCAGAGGGAAAATGGGAGAAAAGAAACAACAGAATTCAAAACACAGGACTGAGGGGCCGGGTGCGGTGACTCACACCTGTAATTCCAGCACTTTGGGAGGCTGAGGCAGGTAGATCACTTGAGGCCAGGAGTTCAAGACCAGCCTGGCCAACACAGTGAAACCCCATCTTAACTAAAAATACAAAAATTAGCCAGGCATGATGGCAGGTGCCTGTAATCCCAGCTACTCAGGAGGCTGAGGCAGGAGAATTGCTTGAACTTGGGAGGCGGAGGCTTCAGTGACCTCAGATTGTGCCACTGCACTCCAGCCTGGGCAACAGAGTGAGACTCCGTCTCAAACCCCAAAACCAAAAAACATGGGACTGAGATGAGAAAAGGGGAGAATCCTCATGTTTCAGGCAAAACAAGTAAAAATTATTAAAATCTATTGTTACCTTTTGTTGTTCAGATATCTTCAGTGTGTTCCATCAGACTGTGGAGGTGTATCCTGGCAATACATCTCAAATTCAAGCAGGTAAATGGATCTAGCAGGCATCTGACTAGAAAGAGGGGTTAATTCTTTTATCCTCACTTTCAGATGAAGAAATTGGAGCTGAAGGTCAGCAAGGCAGGTATCAAAAACCGTGCCCACTCCACGCAGGCCCTGGCGTGGAGGGACGCAACAGGGAGAGCTTTCCTCTGAGAGGCCCCTGGCCAGGCCCGAGCCGTGTTCTCAGATCTCCTTGTTCTCCTTTCAGAACTTCCTCTTCTCCTTGGTTAGAATTAAACACAGTGGTGGGGGCCGGGCGCGGTGGCTTCGCGCCTGTAATCCCAGCACTTTGTAAGGCTGAGGCAGGCTGATCACCTGAGGTCAGGAGTTTGAGACCAGCCTGGCCAACATGGCGAAACTGTCTCTACTAAAAATACAAAAATTAGCCAGGCGTGGTGGTGCACACCTGTAGTCCCAGCTACTCGGGAGGCTGAGGCAGAACTGCTTGAACCTGGCAGGTGGAGGTTGCAGTGAGCTGAGATTGTGCCATTGCACTCCAGCCTGGGCAACAGAGCAAGACTCTGTCTCAAAAAGAATAAATTGATTAAAAAAATAAAAATCAGCACAGTGGTGGAATCAGATTTATTGTGTCAGCTTCCCCAGTGCTGAGCCATCTCTCTTACTCAACATCTCCCCTCCAAGGCCCAGCACACAGTATGTGCACAGTTAATACCATGTCAGCCACTCTGAACATCTTGGGTTGAAGAAGCATTCGCCAGCATATCTTCCAGGAGCAAAGTAAGCATTTTCACCCCGACAAAGCACTCTCCATGCTGTGCCCACATCTGAGCGCCCAGAGTGGCCAGCAGTGGCTCCAGTGGCTCTTGGAGGTGCCTGTGTGCCGACGGCTCCCTATGTGCCACAAAATCGTTTTCCATGTCTGGGCACCAAGAGAGAAAAGCACGTCCATGTCCTGCCCTCCCTCCTCCAGCAGGCTGAGAGCAAGCTGCTCCCAGGCAAGCATGCCCCTAGGCTGTTCTTCAGGCCAGAGGGGACTTGGGGAGTGAATCCAACTTTGAGACAGAAGGCACGGTGAGCTGACATTAAAACGACCACATCTACGCTGGGCACGGTGGCTCATCCCTGTAATCCCAGCACTTCGGGGGGCCGAGGCAGGTAGATCACTTGAGGTCAGAAGTTCTAGACCAGCCTGGGCAACATGGTGAAACCACGTCCCTACTAAAAATACAAAAAGTAGCCAGGTGTGGTGGCATGCACCTGTAGTCCCAGCTACTTGGGAGGCTGAGGTGGGAGGATTGCTTGAGCCCTGGGTGCACAGGTTGCAGGAGCGGAGATCACGCCACTGTACTCCAGCCTGGGCGAAAGAGCAAGACCCTTTCTCAAGAAACAGAAACAAAAAACCCCAACCACATCTAAAAAGAAAGCGGCTAAGATTCAGGTGGTTGGCTCCAGGCACTCAAGCTGCCAGGCCACGCTTGGCCACCAATAGAACAGAAACACAGACCCACTCAAGATGTGTCCCGCTCCTGTTGAGCCCCTGCCATGCTCATCCGCAGGCGGCACAGGCACACACCGACTGGGCAGACAGTGGGCCAGCGGGGGCCCTTTCTGCATGGCCCCCTCCCTTCGTCACACCCTGTCCTCCAGCCCCCTGACCCCGTCTGCCCACCCTGGCTGGGACTTTCCCCTGGTTCACAAGCCTTCATGCCTCATTTCTTCAGGACTCAGCTCCCTGCAGGTGGCTGCAATCTCACCCAGCAGACAGGCCCTGTGTGGGACGGGGCTCGCCGTTAGGGCTGCAACCCTGTGATGCAGAACCCACAGCAGCCCGGTTGTGGCAGGAGGGCGGGGGCACTCTCACGTTAGGCTCCTGTGGGCAGAGCTGGCAGAGGCACTGTTTCCTAAGCCAGAGGCAGGTGTGGGACAGCCCAAGGGAGGAGGCAGTGCTCCGTCACCACCCAGGTTGGAAGGGGTAGCAGGCATGTCGTGTAGCCGAAAGCTCCCTGGGAGCACCTGATGGGCAGAAGTGTGAGCCGGAACCCAGCTCCCCAGCACCCCCGGCTCCCGAGGGCACACCTGCTCCCTCAGTGCCACTGTTCCCCTTAGCCTTTAACTTCTGGTGCCCCTGAGCAAAACGAGACTGGGAGCAAAATCCCCCTCAGGATTTGAGAACTGTAATTCAGAAATGACTTTTAAGCACAGAGTGTTTTATTTTGCTTGGAACCTTTGTGCAAAAAACTGAATCATCTGCCAGAGTAAACACATTTCAGTTCATAAGCAGCACCTTTGAATGAACACTGAAAAGGGAACGTACGGTTCGGTCTAAAGCCAGAACAGAACGCGTGAGACGCACTGGACGGCAGGAGAGCCTCCGCCAGCCCAGGTCCGGGGCGCAGGACACCGAGAGTGTCGACGCAGCTTCCACTGCAGAACGGAGTGACCACAGACCAAAGCAAATCACGCAAGTGGATCAAAAAATGTTTATTCTGAATTCTTTAATTTAAAAAAATCATACCTATGAGGTGTGCTACAGGAATTCAGATACAATAAGTTGCATATAAAACCCGACCTCATTGCTCATTGTGGTAAAGCAAGGATGATGAGAAAATGCACCTCAGGAGCAAAAACACGCTTCACGGGCACTCCGGGACCCAAGTCCCGAGACATTTCCACGTGACCTTCTGGAAAGACACACCGCCCACCTGACTGCACGACGGGACTGGTCCAGCCTCCCGGCTCCTCAGGAAGGAGATGAGTTTCCTACAAAGTGAGTGGCCACAAATGCCAGGACAGCGGTGTCCTGGAGCTGTGGGGGGACCTTGGGGAAGAACACACACTCATCTGCACTTCACACTTCTAGCCTTCAACTGATCAAACTACTGAAATTGAACATGATATTTTGGCAAAAATACTACACCCCCATTGACAGGAGGAGGGTTCCTGGCGGCTCACAGCAGAGCAGGCACTGCCTTCCTTCCCAAGGCCGAGAGGCCATGCTGTGACATGGCACACACACCGCCCCAGGCTGCCCGGTGGCCCAGGGACCATATGGGTGACAGTTAAGACATCAGCCTTTGTGAAAAGCCAAGCCCGACGCAGACCTCAACTGCACTGTGCGTCCCAATCCAGAGACCCGCGGGGCAGGGGAGGATTTCAAGGACTCAGTGACACTGCCCGGCGGGGACAGGAGAGGCTCCCAGCAGCCCTCCCGGTGACCTGGGCATCAGGGGATGGGTAGAGATGAGGACAAGCCGGAGTGGGCACAGGAAAAAAACCAGGGTCTCTGCTAGAAGTCACCTGATCCTGCGGGCTGTCACGGTATGACATAGGCAGATTTCCCATCTGACATGGCAGCTCCTGTGCTCTGGGTGACTTAGCTCCGGGTTAACTTCCATCAGGCCCAGTCCTCTCCTCCCCAGCAGTGAGACTCTAGAGGAAGCCCCTCGTCTGGGACAGTCCTTCCTGCCTACCCGCCACAGGGCCGACCTGAGGCCTCGTGCTTGTCCTGGGAGGTCCCGACTGCACTTGATGGGCACGAGGGCAACACGAACACAAGAGAATGCGAGCTCCCTGAAGCTGCCGCGTGACAGTCAATTTGGCAAAAAAGAAAAAAAAAACCATCAATGCATAAAACCAATTACCAAAGTCCTCCTAAGGAATGTGATTACAATATATTAGCAAATTCTGTGGCATAAACATTTTCAAAAGCATCAGCAAAAGTATTAAATATAAAAGCAATGTGTATATTCCCCTCCCCACCTTCAAAAAAAAAAAAAAAAAAAAAAAAACAGAAAAAACCCAAAACCACCCAAGAACCAAAGAAGGCCTGATCTGTAGTGTGAGGATCCAGGGCGCAGCTCCGGGGGGGGGCTGGGGGCCCTACTGCCGCAGCTCCACATAGTTGGCTGGGAAGAGCCCGTACCGGCCCTTGCACACCCCGCGCCACCAGCCGTCGTCAATCATCTCGATGTTGGTGATGATGTCATCAGGGTCAAATGAGATCTCATCATCGCCCGCTGGGGAAGAGAACACAGAGAAAGATGCTGAAGTGCAAGCGTTTCCTGGTCTGCCAGAAAAAAAGCACAACCCAGAGCAAGCTCCCAGGCAGCCTGCTCAGAGATGCCCCCTGCAGAGATGCGGACCACCGCGGAGGCTCCTGCTGCCTCTCCCATGCCACCAAGGCCAGGATTTGTGAACATGAACCGAGAGAGTACAAAGAGGCACAGAGCCCTTCACACAAGCACCAACCCCACCCGGACCCCTTCCTCAGGAGCAGGTTTCCACCACATAACTCCAGCCCCGCCTGCCCTCCCTTCCCCTCTCTCTGGCAGACGTGTCTGTGGAGGGGGTGGGGAGATGGGCTGCGGAGGCCGCAGTGGAAGGACAGCCAGGGGACACCCGGAGAGAAGCCCGAGGTGATGGCTGAAATGGGAATGGAGGGCAAAAGCCACGGTGATGAGAATCCACGCACAGGTGCCGAGATGCCACAGACACACCCACATGCGTGTACGCAAATGCACGTGTGCAAAAGGCACTGAACGGGGACGGCCAGCGCTCACTTATGGTAGAATGCCAGCTTCCGCGCTGATGGAAAGTTGCAAACGGGAAGCACTCAAGAGGCAGAGGCCGGGGGTTCTGAGGGGAATCCCACGCCACCCGTAAGATGCTTGTCAACTGCAGAGGGGTGGTGGTGACTTTGTGGACCAGGTGGTGGCTGAGACAGAGGGACAAGTGGATGCTATGCGGCCCAGCAGAGAGCCCCACCGCATGGTCTCCAAGACCTCACCGCCACCAGAGCACAGCTCAGCCTGGCCCTGAGGGAACACGGGGCGGGCGGCTGAGGCCAGCCCAGGAGCTGAGGCTGCTCTTAAACTGCCAAGGCCGCAAAGGGAACTCAGGGGAACGTGCAGGCCACACGGGAGCTGGCGGCCGGGGCAGGACAGGCAGGAATGGGGTCTCGAACATCAAGGCATCTGTGCGGCCCCCTCACCTGGAGGGTGGGGTGTCCCTGTGGGACAGCATCTTTGATCTTGGGAAACACGCTGGAGTCTTTGGGGGTGGCAGCACCCCTGCAGCTCTCCAAGGGTTCAGAGAATACTAAAGATAACAGGGGGTGTGTGCGTGTGTGTGCAGAGATGGAATCCGGGTAGGGAACATGGGAGTTCTTGGCACTATACCTGCAACTTTTCTATATCTCTGAAATTATCTCAACATAAATTACTTCTAAAACTAACAACGCTAGAGAAGTGAATTCTCAGAAAACAAGCAGAGGCAGGCGCAGCTGCCTGGGTCTCCCCTCCAAGTGCTTTTGCAGGCCGCTCACCAGCCTGGTAGTCGTACAGGGCGACGGCTGTGATCCCCAGATCGTTCTCGTACTCATCGTAGGTGCTGTCCTCTAAAAGAAAGCCATGACAGAGCTGAACAATACAAAGTCCCACACAGGTTCCCAGCCTTCTCAAGTTTTAGACGACACTTCCTAAGATTTTGTCTCAAGGACACAGGGCGGCAGCTGAAACCCTCCCTTCCTCTGCCCCTGCCCACCCGTCCCCAGCACAATGGGGATCTTCCTGGGACCCAGCACAGGAGCCGATGCCCCAAATGTGCCTAGAGCACTTCCCTCCAGGGACAAGAAGACCCTATAGCAAGCAAGCAAAGGCGTGTCAGTGGGAAACCCACGCTCCTCGCAACGACGCCACAGGTCGAGCAGGATGTCCCGGGAGCTCCCTGCCCTGGGCAGGGCGCTGCAGCGTGGGGCCCCAGTACCTGCGGGATAGTGGCCCGGGGCCTCTGCGCTTTCATAGACAGCCTCTGTGGCATAGGCCAGGCCCTGCTGGCTGCTGGCCTCTCGGTAGTCAGCGGCCTCCATGCTGTACACGGGCTCCGGCTCCGTCCCACTCACAGGGCCTCTGTAGCTCAGCTCTGCCTTGAAGGAAGCCGCATCCTGGGGAAGGGTCACACGCACATGGCACGGGGCCCATGCTGGCTTCTAGAGAGCAGTAGCTGTACTGCCACAGCCAGCAGAAACCCACGGGCCATCTAATTCTCAGTCCCAGCCAGGACTGAGAAAACAGACGCGGTATAGGAAGGCCAGGCCTGCCGGTGTGTTCACCATGGTGGTGAGTGCCCACATGCCATTTCCTTCCCGATGATGACCCGGTCCTCACCACCGACACTCCAGTCCTGCAATAACCACGCCCACACAGCAGGTTAGGAGACACGCCCCTGCCCACACTGTTGCCTGGGGGTAGAGCCTGTCTTTGTTGGGTTAATTTGGCTGATTTCTTTTTTTAGGCCTCATCTCCAAGGCCACACAAGGCACCCTTGGGCCGAGCGGCCACCCTCCTGCCTGTGCTGCTCGACCCTGGCCCTGCCTGACAGCGGCTTCACCACGTGGCTCCAGAGCAGCTGAGCCTACAGACAGGGCATCGCCAAAGAATCACATTCAACTACAAAGGTGCGCAGTGGAACACCTCTCTATCTATAACCACTGCCGCTTCGGAGCCCCAGCGAAAATTCTGAACTGCTTATCACCGACAGTGGCTTTAATCAATGTTTCTGACCAGGGTCCACCTGATGTCACCGGCAGTGACTGAAAGAAAGCAATGCCGACAGCTCAGAACCGCGCACCCAGGAGATCTGGGAAGAGCCAGTGGTGGAGAGCTGCTAGCCAGGGAGAGTAATCGGGCAGGGAGAGCGACTCCACCCTCAGCACAGGCACCAGGAACCACACAAGGGCTGAACTGCACGGGAGGGGCAGGGTCGGAGCTTCCTTGAGGCAGATGGCGCTGGCTGCCAAGGGGAGGGACTAGAGGGGGAGGCCGGTTCCTGACAAGCTGCAAGGCCTCACTTACCACATCCCCCCAGGGCCCGGCAGGGTAAAGGCAGCAGGCAGCAGCGTAGCCAAGGAGGGACAGTCGGGTGGTGACAAGGCCACGGCCATCGAGGCCCAGATCCCAGACCCGGCCTGTCTCCAGGGCTCTCTCTGGGCTCCTGAACTACCATGGTCTGGAGTGTGACCCCTGTAACTGACTGGCTCCTGGGCGAGCAGAGATGAATGCATAGACCAGGATGATGGCCATGGGATGGAGAAAGGGCAAGGGCTGGGGACAGGAGAGGTGGTTACAGGTAGAGGGTGTGGTTAGCGCAGAGGTGCTGGCGGGGAGCAGGAGACCCAAAGTCAGGGATGGGCGGGGCATCGGCAGGCGGCTCCGTAACTCAGGGATGGGGACGGAACACTGGGGGACCCATGAGAGGGGGTCAGCAGCACAGGGAGGGGCCGGACAGCATGTCTGCAGCCACACTCATGAGGGGCTGCAAGGCTGGAGAGCTGAATGGGGCAGGCATAGAAGGCAGATTGTGCGGGAGGCAGGGGCTCAGTGATGAAGGAGGGCAGCACTGCCATTAGGGAGTGAGGCGGCGTCCTGCACAGCAGAGAGCAAGTGGGGTGAAGACACCCCCATCTGATTATCTGATAGCAGGTGACTACAGCAGGGACTGCAGTGACAGTGGCCAGACTACAACAGGCTGCAGAGGGGTGAAAGGATGGCATGTGGGCCTGCACAGCTATCCCCTGACAGCACTGAGGCATGTCACCCACCCCCCAGGCGCTCCTGGCCCACCCCTCTCCGGGCGTGGAATGCAGCGATGCCCTCTACACCCACGCCACACTGCCTGCCTGCAAGGGCTTCCTCCACTCCACAAACAGGACCTGGGCTCTGGCAGTAAGTCACTCACGCTCATTCAAACACCAAAGACACCAACCTCATAGACGGGGCTCGAGGGCAGCCTCTCCTCGGTTGGCTGAGGTGCGGGCGACACAGGGGGCGTTTGCGTTTTGGCTCTGGCTTGCTCCTGTGATTGAAAACAAACAGCAATCAGAATGCTGCCATGACACTCTGCACTGTCACGCCTGCCGTGTTTCAGAAGATCGTGTGCAAGCTCTAGGCATGCTCTGGGGAAAGGAGTGGAAAACACCCACACCAAGGCTGAGCTGGAGCACCAAGCCTCAGATCCCACCAGCACCCCAGCAGGATCCGAGGGGCAGGGGAGCTGGAGCACCAAGTCTCAGATCCCACCAGCACCCAGGCAGGATCCGAGGGGCAGGGGAGCTGGAGCACCAAGCCTCAGATCCCACCAGCACCTAGGCAGGATTCGAGGGGCAGGTGTGCTCTGAGGCCGAGATCACACAGCCAGTGACGCGACAGTGCCGGGACTGGGCCACAGCTCATTCTCGCCCACACACGATTAGATAGTTTAGGCACAGATTTGGGAGTCTGAGTTGATGCTGCAATGGGTTGAGACTTTGGGGACCTTAAAATGGGCTGAGTATGTTTGCACATGGGATGGACATGAAGCTTTAGGGGCCAAAGGATGAACTGGGGTAGGATAATAGCCCCTCAAAGCTGCTGACATCGCAGTCCCCAGACCCCATGGGGAGGGACTGTGTATGTGATGAAACTAAGGGTTCTGTGATGGGGAGAACTCTGGACTGCCTGGGTGGACCCAATGTAATCACAAGGTCCTGAGAGGAGGGAGGCAGGAGTGTGAGGGACAGAGGAGGGGCGGTGACAACAAAAGCAGAGGCTGGAGATGGGAAGACAGGGCCGAGGGGCCACCAGGAGGAACACAGCCCTGCTGACATCTTTGAGGACCTCTGACCTCCAGAGCTATAAGACACTAGCTGTGTGCTGTGTGTGGTGGTGACTACGGCAGCAACAGGAAACTCACTGACAGCCTGTGGGCTCCAGTGCCAGACGCTGAGTCTGAGGGTGAGGTGGCAGGCACAGGCACACTGGCCAGGGAGCTGCCCAGGCAGGATCTGAACCCCAGGTGTCCACTCCAAACCCCTTCCCTCCTCTCCCTCTGCAGGCGGCCTTGCTCTAACGGGAACAATGGTAGTGCTGTCTTGTCTTTTTGAAGAGAAAACCACCCCTGGTCTTGAGACCCTAGCACGGTTCCTGGCATCTATGGCCTTGCTTGACCCCAACAGGACAGTTGTAAATTCCCACGTCACCTGATGCCATCCACAGGTTAAACACCCAAAGTAGCACGTCCTGTGTGGCCCTGCAGGGGCAGGGCCTGGGGTGGATAGGAGAAGCCCAGGCTTCCAGACAGGCTGGGCCTGCCCCACACTGCAGATGCCCCAGCTGCAGAACCACACCTGGTAACTTCACACACACACATCTGTAGGCCTCAGGCTCTATTCACAACCCCCCTGATCCAGCTGAGCACAAGGAAAGTCCTTGTCAGTGGCAAGCCACCCAGGCTAGACCCAAAGCACCCAGACACAGGCTCGTGCTCCGCCCCTGCCAGGGGTGCACTTCTGGCATCTTTCTCTGGGAGCGCTTCTCCACAGCCCAGGGGCTTGGGTGAGCGGGGCTGGGCTGGCCAAGCAGAAGCAGGCCCCGAGAGCAGGCTGCCTCTGCACAGAGTCCCCTCCAAACCCCAAACTTCCACCTGGGAAAGGAGGGGCTTCCAGAGGGGGAGGGGTGAGAAGAGACTCAGGCTGACATTTGGACAGGAGCCCCGTGGAGGTGGAAGCCGACAAGACTCTGCCGTCAGCTCAGGGACAGAGGGCAGGGCAGGTTGGCGGGTCCTGGGGCTGGACCGGCAAGACCAGGATAGCGCTAGCCGGCTGCCTGGAGCATTGTGGCCAGAGACTCAGCCTATGTGTGGCTGCAAGTGACAAGTGCCTTAATGGAGAGCCTTAAAGGAGAGTTAAACATGCCTTCCAAGGAAAACCTGGCCAGGAGAGAATAAGCCCCGCCCAGGCCCCAGAGCTCCCAATCCCCTCGGCACAGGTCCCAGGGAGGGTGCGCTGCGGCCCACTCCTTGCCACTCACCTCCAGCTTCCTCCTGGCCTCTTCCTGCTCCTGCCGCTCCTTGGCCATCCGCTGGGCTCTCTCCGCCTCCGCCTTCCGCCTGTCCTCCTGCTCTTTCTCCTTAGCGAGGTTTTCAAAGTTAGCTCTGATGTTACTTGTTTTGCTGGTCACTATAGAGGAAGGAGGGAGGACGTGTGCCTTGAGCACAGCAAAAACACTGCTCCTGGACAACAGCCCCACCCACACAGAGTGACCTCCCCAGGAACCGGTCATCCCCCTAACCCCCAAGGAGGGAAAGGTTCTTGCAGCTGCCAGCTCAGCCCACTGGTCCGGAGCCAGCACTGGGCACCTGCCGCAGGGCACTGCGTACCTGGTGGGACTGGCAATCCCCCTAAGCCTGGCATCAGGAAGATCTCTAAATAAGACGGTATCTTCACCACCACACTCACCTTTTTAAATAAAAACAGCCAATTTCCCTTAAAGACATCTGTCCTTGATAAAGCAGTTAAGGTACTGATGTATACTGTAATTGACGTATACTGAGTATAGTAAATCTCAACCAGAGTATACATTTTTTTATATTGTGTGTGACAAAAATGGAAAAGAGGGCAGTGGCTCATGCCTGTAATCCCAGCACTTTGGGAGGTTGAGACGGGAAGACTGAGATCAGGAGTTTGAGACCAGCCTGGGAAAGACAGTGAGACCCCGTGTCTATTAAGAAAAAATGATAAAAATTTAAGTCAAAAGTGGGGAATATGGCCGGGCATGGTGGCTCACACCTGTAATTCCAGCACTTTGGGAGGCTAAGGTGGGCGGATCACGAGGTCAAGAGATCAAGACCATCCTGGCCAACATGGTGAAACCCTGTCTCTACTAAAAATAGAAAAATTAGCTGGGCTTGGTGGCAGGCACCTGTAATCCCAGCTACTCGGGAGGCTGAGGCAGGAGAATCGCTTGAACCTGGGAGGCAGGGGTTGCAGTGAGCCGAGATTGTGCCACTGCACTCCAGTCTCGCGACAGAGCGAGACTCTGTCTCAAAAAAAAAAAAAAAAAAAAAAAAAAAAAAAGTGGGAAGACACATGAGCCTTCCCTGCTGTGTCCGGGACTGTGGCGGTGGCTGTCTGTGTCTCAAGGACCATGAATAGAACCATGAGAGCTGCAAGTTGACTGTTTTCTCATGGAATAGCGTTTTTCCCTGAAATAACAACTGACAGTCCAACTATGGTTATGCAAAGCTGGGTATCTGGCAACAGTTTTCTCCCAAGTGAATGAACTAAGCCTATTGTGTCAAGAAAAATTACTGGAGTATTTGTTGCCAACGGGAAAATTCCAGCTTTCAAGTAAAAGACAGAATTTTGAAAAATGTGAGGCTGCCACATGAACATGCTGATTTCCACTCAGCTTCTGCAGATGAAATAGATGATGACAGCAAATGTGATTTTTTTTGGTATTGTGGAATGAGAAGTGTCCACAACTGGAAGACGAGCACAACTCAGAGACCCAGCATTTTCCAAATGACCAACACACAGTGCTGCCCAAGCACAGTGGGTAGCGAGTCCCTCACAGGGCCAGAGGAGCCGGCCTGCAGGACCACCACTGCCTGGCACGCTTGGGCGGCGTCGCAGAAGGACACCCACGCTGCCCTCAAGGTTACAAACACTCCTCCCTTTCCCAATCGCCTACCTAGGTGATTCCACATGTTCTTCCTAAACAACGTAACATCGATAGACTGCAGAGGCAGATGTGAGAGTGCAGCCATCTTCTATTAAAGAGATTTACAAAACAAAACAATGCCGGTCTTCTCACTAAGTGCTGGGATTACAGGAATGAGCCACTGTGCATGGCCAGTTATATTATTATTTTTATTTTTTGAGATGGAGTTTAGCTGTTGTCGCCCAGGCTGGAGTGCAGTGGCGCAATCAAGGCTCACTGCGACCTCTGCCTCCAGGTTCAAGCAATTCTCGTACCTCAGTCTTCTGAGTAGCTGGGATTACAGGCGTGGACCACCATGCCCAGCTACTTTTTGTATCTTTAGTAGAGACAGGGTTTCACCATGTTGGCCAGTCTGGTCTCAAACTCCTGACCTCAGGTGATCCACCCACCTCGGCCTCCCAGAGTGCTGGGATTACAGGTATGAGCCACCACACCCGGCCAAGGTTTATTCTTTTTAAGTGAACCAATTAATAACTTTCCAATGTCGCTCATGCCTGTAATCCCAGCACTTTGAGAGGCCGAGGCAGGTGGATCACTTGAGCTCAGGAATTCAAGACCAGCCTGGGCAACACAGTGAGACCTCATCTCTACTAAAGATAAAAAAATTTGGCCGGGCACAGTGGCTCATGCCTGTAATCCCAGCACTTTGGGAGGCCGAGGCGGGCAGATCATGAGGTCAGGAGATCGAGACCATCCTGGCTAACACGGTGAAACCCCGTCTCTACTAAAAAATAGCAACAACAACAAAAAAATTAGCCGGGCGTGGTGGCAGGCGCCTGTAGTCCCAGCTACTCCGGAGGCTTGAGGCAGGAGAATGCCGTGAACCCGGGATGGGAGGCGGAGCTTGCAGTGAGCCGAGTCCGCGCCACTGCACTCCAGCCTGGGCGACAAAGTGATACTCTGTCTCAAAAAAAAAAAAAATTTAACTGGGCAGGGGGCATGCGCTTATAGTTCCAGCTACTCCAGAGGCTGAGGCAAGAGGACTGCTTGAGCCCAGGAGACTGAGGCAGCAGTCCTGCCTGGATGACACAGCAAGACCCGGTCTCAAAATAAATAAATAAATAAACCATTCCTCTCTCTCTTTTTTTTTTTTTTTTGAGACGGAGTCTCGCTCTGTCATCCAGGCTGGAGTGCAGTGGCGCAAACTCCGCTCACTGCAAGCTCCGCCTCCTGGGTTCACGCCATTCTCCTGTCTCAGCCTCCCGAGTAGCTGGGACTACAGGCGCCCGCCACCATGCCTGGCTAATTTTGTTTTTGTATTTTTAGTAGAGACGGGGTTTCATCGTGTTAGCCAGGATGGTCTCGATCTCCTGACCTCGTGATCCGCCCGTCTTGGCCTCCCAAAGTGCTGGGATTACAGGCATGAGCCACTGTGCCGGGCCACATTCCTCTAATTTCTAATATAGTCAATGTCATCAAATACATCAACATCTTGGGGGTTCTCACGAGTGGTCAAAGTGTCAAAGCGTCCTGGGCCCTCAATCTCTGAGAACTGTGGGTCCATAGCCCCTGAAGGAAGTCAGTGGTGGCTCTCTGCATCCTGTGTTAAATTTAGCACTTGCTCTCATGTATGTATAACATTTTCCCCAACTACTTGACTCTCCGGGGCAGGGCCCACATCTGACTCCATCGTGTGTCCAGCACAGAAAAGGACAGGTTTCGAGCTCCCTGTCAAGGGCCCAAGAACGAGCAGCAGAGAGAATGTCTGCTGTCGCCTGCACATCGACGTCATGATGTCTTCCTCCTGTCACAGCTGCGACCGAGCGGCTCAGGGAGTTGGGCAGGCCCCAGCTGCTCCCAGAAGCTGGTCACTGGCAGTGTGGAGGCCCTTGTGAATGTGCACTTAGCCCCTTTGCTCTGGGAAGAGCCCCTTGAAACGGGCCCCACTGAAACGGCTGCACCATGCTGCGTCTAAAAGGTGACTCTAAACCTCTGCAGGAGAAACAAGATCTTCATCAGAACGATCATTTTCTTTCCCAAAAATACGCAGCAACAACCACGCTTTCAACTAGTGGTGCATCTGCTCCTGGCTGTTTCACAACTGTCCTTCCCCTCAGTGTTTTCCTGGGAAACCACACGGTGCTCCTGGTATCAGCCGGGACTCACCAGCTTCGACAGGTACTGTCTTCTGGTAGGCAGAGGACACCTGGGTGACATCCTCAAAGGTTGACGCATTCTGCAGAGACAGGACATGGGCGTCAGGAGAGCACTTTTCTCTTTTCTCCATGCCCTGTGGTAGCTCCTGCCAGATGCAAATGCCTTCCCCAGATCTTCCCAAAGGCCCAGCCACACAGCCCAGAGCACTCTTCATGGCCTCTCGGTTTTGCAAACTAACTGAGGCATGAAAACTATTACCAACCACATTTGCAGGCAATCGTGGGTCAGCATTAGCATAAGAAATGCATGTATCTCCATCTGCTCTACCACAAACCAATTCTGGGATCAGCCTCAAGCCTTCCCCACCCTCCGTCGCCACCCAGAGGTGTGAGCATTTACAGGAAGCGAAGACGCTGGGGACACATGCAAGCCTCCAGTGGCCCGTCCTACACACTACCCAGTGGTGCAATCACACCTTTCTGCATTGCAGGGGACTCAACTATGGTCTGACCAAGCGACGGCGATGACTCTTACGTGCTGACTCAGGTGGAGACTGTCAGGGCTCATGGAGACCAGTGGCCGTACCCAGTTTCACTGTGGGTTTCACTACCTCTGATGAGAACACCTGAGGCTCAGAAGCCACCAGAGCCCCCATACCATGGCCCCTTTCTGCCCAGCACCTCCTGCTTGCCCCCTTCCTGGCCCGCCTGTCCTTCCTCGGACCCCGCTCCCTCCTCCCATCAGTCAGCTCCAGCGTCTACTCCATGTCCCTTGAGCTGCTTGCACCTGTTCAAAGGCAAGGCCATCAGCCTTACTGGGTCCCATCACCCACTGGGCCCTCTGCAGACATCACCTTGCCCTGAGGGGGCAACTTCACCTCCCAGCCTGGGTTGTAGCCCTATCCCCACAATGTATGGGGACCCGGGCAGTTACGTCACCCTCTCTAAGCCTTGGACTCCTCCATCACACAGCAAACAGAGAGAGAAGCTCCACCCCCTCCTGGATGAAAGACAATGACACGAAAGGCCACACCCACACACTGCCTCCTCACGTGCTCACAAGCTCAGCGGTCACCGCCAACACCAGCAATGCTGACCACAGACACCCACAACACAGGCAGTCCCTCAGGTTCCGGCCTCAAAGCCACAACCTCTGACTCACCCACAGGGGAGCTCCTTCCCTCCGTCTGTCCCAGTGCCTTGCAAGGCCCCTGCTACCTCACTGGGTCCCCCTGCCCAGTGTCCTCTGACCGCGTGCCTACTCCCCTCCCAACTCTGCACGCCACCCGGACCCGGCCCCGGCCCTACCCCAGCTCTCTCTCGCTGACACCCACATCTGCTCCTCCCAGTTCTTCGGCTCCACAGTTGGCCCCACGTCCACCCCACATCCACCCGACTGCTCCCTCCCCTGCGTCCCTTGGCGCCAAACACCATGCCCTGCTTCTCCACCACCCGAGCCCCTCCAGCTCTCTTCAGGACCACACCCCTCTGCCCAGGCCAACCCCCACAACCCAGACTCCACGCTGAGGCCGGGGGCTTCTCAAAGTAGACCCCCCCAGTGTTCCTTGCCTGCTAACCTTTCTGGGGCCACGCACGTCAGATGCTCTGTGGTGTGTGACGCATGTCACGACATGCAGAATGCTCTGTGGTGTGTGGGGCTCTCCAGGGCCAGCTCTATCCCCGCTCCCCACCCTCCCTCTGCAGCTAGGCTCCTTGAGAACCTGCAGTGACTCCTGTCCCACCCAGGCCCACACCTCGCCCCTCCGTGGTCTCCTGAGCCTTCTCTCCTGGTGAACTCGCGCCTGCCCTCAGAAATGAGCCCAGGCTACTGCTCCCTGGGGAGCCCAGCCCGAACACCTGCTCTGCCTGCCTACGCCCCTGGATGGTGCTGTGTGGTCAGCTGCGAGGCAAGGACTGACCCTGCCACCCCTGACCACAGGCCACGCGCAGGAGCAGGCAGTGTGGAGCCCGCGTCTCTACGAGGCTGAAGACGGGAGACATGGCTCATCACCGCACACGCAGCGCTGGCTGCCAGCGAGGTAGCCCCACACGCAGTCTAACACACTCAGGTTCCAATCTGATTTACTATTAAGAATTTAAGTTCAAATGGACATGAGCCCTCGAGGCTCTCACCTCTCATGTTAAACATCTGGGTTCCTATGGCTGCAGCCAGGTGCTGAGCCTGCCTGGCCTGGGGCCCCCAGTTAGGAGGTGGGCCGGTGCCAGCGCCTATCCCACAGCACGGCCATGAGGAGCACAAGACTGTCCGAGTCAGTCATCGCCACCACCACCACCACCACGACGGAAATCACTTGTGCCCCACCCCAGCGCGTGGATGTTGGCCAGCACGGTGAGCCACGCCCACCAAGAGCCCCTGCAGGCAGAAGACACTAAGCTCCGGGGCTGGAATATTTACCTTATCCATCCGATCCTTCTGCACCCCATACTTCCCGCCGAATCCTTTGGAGTAGTCTGAAACGTGGCAAAACACAACACTTACTCTGAGGTGGAGGCGAGCATGGGGGTGGCCGTGGGTGCATGCAGACAGATCCAGAAACAGCCCAAGAAGGTGCACCACAGCGGGAAGAAACGAGAATGGCCAAGCGAGGCTTCACTTGCAAGGCAAGTTTTGCTTCCACCCATGGTCGTGAGACACAGGCAGTGAGAAGCAGAGCACAGGCCAGGGGCAGAGGCTTCAGCATTCCCTGAGGGGCAGGAGGGGCAGGAGGGGCGGCGGGCAGCAGGCAGGAGCTAAGCGAGGAAAGAGGGCACGGACAGGCCTTTGCAACGCGCCACTTCAATAGCACAGTCTTCCGCACCAGCACGGGCTTATTCTCATCTGCTTCCTGTGCGCCTGCTCTACTGAGCGCTAAAAAGAGGCTCAATCGCAGTTTGTTCTCTTGCTTTTTAAGAGAAAAAAAAAATCCATGTGGAAATTCTACCAGCCAAAGACTTCCGTTGCAGCAACACAGATCCACATGAAAGTCACACTGTCATGCAGCAGTGATGCCACGGAGAGCCACTGCCATCTCCATGCAGTCTGCGGGACCACCCCAGGTGTGTCTACCTGCCCACACCTGAACACTGCTGTGTGTTTCTAACGCTGCAGGTGGAAAGCCTAGAGTCTTCCCTGCAAGGTTAGGGAATTACTGTTTTTCCAATTATGTGTTCAGGTTCTAATAACCAAGTCCAAATTTTGAAGGTAACAACATAACTGCTCTAAGGAAGGATGCAGAGCTGGCTTCACGTACATACTGTGTGGCTCTGTGTGGAGATGTTACACACATATGGTGTCATCAAACAGAACAAACAAAAAACCTCCCAACCCCGGCCAAAAACACCACCACAAATGAAACACAGAAACCACACAGAACACGCCTGTCTCCTGGCCCTTGCTGCTACGAAGCCCCTGGTCAAATGGCCAGTGGTTTGGTTGAACCAACACCTCTCTCCTCATCTGGAAGGCCTGACTCAGTGGCTCACGGCAGTCACCAATAACAGCAGAACAGCCTCGGGCAGAATGCTGCTGGAGACCGGAGATGCCCCAGTCCAGAGACTGGATGGGTCACCGGGTTAGAAAGATGGCACCCACACACTAACTGGCGCATCCTGCCATACACAGATCACAAGTTCACAGGGAAGAAAGTGAACCACTCAAAATCAGTGTCGCTCTACTAGAAATGGGTTTAAAGTGCCGAACAGCCTGACAGCTGACAAGTGGTGACACAGGAGGACTGTGTTGCAGGTGCTGACGGTGAGCCCTGAAGTCTGTGCTAGAAGTGGCCGCACAGGAGGGTCGGGGGGAGGGTAGGAGGCTGGTGGCAACTGTGCCTTGCTGGGACTCGTGCTTGGCCAGCTTCTCCTTGTAATCAAACCCCACAGCAGCGGAGTCCTGCCTCTCCGACTGAACACCGAATTTGCCTCCAAAACCAGTCTTATAATCTGAAAATCCACAAGCAACGGTGGGGAAAACAACCAAAAGAGGAAACACAGTTGGGTTAGAATTGCATGAGCATGCGCAAAAATCAAACACAGTTTCCAGAAAGCAAGGGCTCTCCTGAGCTTAGGGCCTTTGAGATCCTACTCCCAGGCTCAGCGCCAGAAGGTGGCTCCAGAGGTCAACGTTAAAGAATGAACTTAAAATCTGAACATTCAGCGAAGATCTGGAACAGCCTAAGAACTGTACTTCAAATAATTCAGTAAAGGCACTCCCGGCTGTGCAGTTCATTCTTAGCGTCCTACGCACACTGCAGACGAGTGTGCGTATCTGTGTACACGGGAGGAGAGACCCTGCAGATTCGGAGGGCGCTGCAGCCCCATTAGCCCCGCTCCTGCTTCTCTCAGGGCTGGGTCACACTGAGAGGCTTTCAGCCCCCTCAGGCTCCTTTTTCCAGGGAAGGGGCACCCATTCCAACAAGAAAACACTTTCGGTTCAAAAGTAAGTATCTCCTGCCAAAAACCGTGGCCCACTTTATAGACAAGAAGCCTGGATGAGGAGCACTGCAGGCTTGGCCCATGTCCCCACTCCCGGGTAAACCCAGCCCCCCGCTGCAGGCCTGACACATGCCCCCACTCCCGGGTAAACCCAGCCCCCCGCTGCAGGCTTGACCCATGTCCCCACTCCTGGGTAAACCCAGCCCCCTGCTGCAGGCTTGGCCCGTGCAACCCACTTCCAGGTAAACCCAGCTCTCTGGGGTACCACCCCGTGTCAGCAGGGAGGGTTTGTGACTACACTAGCTGGAGGGAACTGGGGGATTGGGGGGGCACACAGGACAACTTCAAACAGTGAAGACAAAACAATGTGCAGCAGGCACACGCAGACACAACACATACCAACTGACCCCGCAAGGAACAAAAACAAACTTCTAAAACCATCTCGCATACAGGCAGAGTGAATGTACCTTTTTGGGATTCATGCAGCTGCAATTTCTCCTGGTGATCCCAGCCAAGGGCACATTTGTCTTGTCTGTCTGTCTGCACACCAAATTTTCCTCCAAACCCTTTCACATAGTCTACATGCACAATGAAAGGCCAGAACCCATCATTAACAGGTAGTGCAGGTCACAGGTGGAAAGTATGTTTTCAATACAGTTAAACGCATATGATTCACTCAATCTACTCTTCCCTTCCGGATCTTTGGTAATACTTTAGATAACATCCATGAAGAGGCCCTCCTTGGAGAGTGGCAGGAAATAACCTAGTCTATGACCTCAGCATCGTGACTAAGCCAGACAGGACCCCATGGAAGCTCCCACGCATGCGGCTTCCACCCGCACCATGAGACAGCACAGGCTCACACGGGCAACACAGACGTGCGGGGTGTGGCCACCACGATAAGCAACGCCGCTGGGGCTGGAGCGCCATAACACTCAAGCTGCGAGTTCCTATTTAGCAGCTGTGTTTCTGGATGTGCCGTTTTCAAGTTGGGCATTTCATGAAAAAGAGACATCTACGTTAAGGGCTATCAATAACGCTTTGTTTTTCCTTTTCCGGTGTGGCTACCACCTGTCACATTACTAGCTGCTGGCTGGAGGGTAAGATAAAACGGAAGACACCTTTCTGGGACTCGTGCTTCTCCGTTTTGCCTTGATACTCAAAGCCAACGGCGCTCTTATCCACTTTGTCCTTGTCGATACCGTATTTGCCGCCGAAACCTTTGGAGTAATCTAAAAACAAACAAAAAAGGACTACTTTAAAAGGAGCAACGAAATCAGTGAACATGCAAGTATTTTATCCTTTGATTAAAAAAACAAAAATCTTTCAGGTCCACTGTAGGACCACTGAATAATACAGACAGTATTTAAAGGTGCTATTTATGTGTAATAACAGAAACACAAACAGTGGTAACCAGAGGTGGGGGTGTGTGCCTGCAGCCCAGCTACTCAGGAGGCTGAGAAGGGAGGATCACTTGAGCCCAGGAGGCGGAGTCCAGCCTGAGCAACATAGCAAGACCCCATCTCTAAGTTAAATCATTAGCTAATATTTTAAAAATTCAAAAAACAGGCTGGGGGAGGGGGCTCACGCCTGTAATCACAGCACTTTGGGAGGTCGAGGTGGGTGGATCACCTGAGGTCAGGGGTTTAAGTCCAGCCTGACCAACATTATGAAACCCCATCTCTACTAAAAATACAAAATTAGCTGGGCGTGGTGGCCCACACCTGTAATCCCAGCTACTCGGGAGGCTGAGGCAGAAGAATCACTGGAACCCAGGAGGTGAAGGTTGCAGTGAGCCGAGATTGCGCCACTGCACTCCAGCCTGAGCAACAAGAGTGAAACTCCATCTCAAAAAAAAAAAAAGAATTAAGAAAAAAAGTTTTTTTTTTTAAAGTACAGCAGAGGCTGGACACAGTGGCTCACACCTGTAATCCCAGCACTTTGGGAGGCCAAGGTGGGCGGATCATGAGGTCAAGAGATCAAGACCATCCTGGGCAACATGGTGAAACCCCGCCTCTACTAAAAATACAAAAATTAGCTGGGCTTGGTGGTGCATGCCTGTAATCCCGGCTACTCAGGAGACTGAGGCAGGAGAATTGTTTGAACCCGGAAGGAGGAGGTTGCACTGAGCTGAGATCGCACCACTGCACTCCAGCCTGGCGAGAGAGAGAGACTCCGTCTCAAAAAAAAAAAAAAAAGAAATAAAGTACAGCAGATGAATTCCTGTAACATCATCCATTGCATCCAGAAGCTAGCAGGAGATGAGAGTTTATGATAAGGCTCTAAGCTCAGGAGGCAGCAGAAGGGCAAGGCTTTCAAAGGCCACTCTTCACAAACTGAAGCACGCAGGGGGATGCCAGGAAATAGGACACACACAGCATCCTCCAGAAACTTCAGTTCTACTCAGAATGAAGCCATTTAGCATGTCACTGTGACACCAAAACATGACTCTCTCATGGACCCACTAACAGCACAAGGCAGAGGATCAAGGCCTGGGAGAGAAGGCCTGAAGCATCCAAGGAGCCTTGCGTCTGCCCAGGTGCTCGGCCTGTGCTCCCTGGCTCCCTGGAGTCACACACTCATGCAGCTTCGCGGAGCATGCGCTGCTCACAACTGTGTGGTGTCGGGAAGAGGAGGAATGGACTGTTCCCAGGAAAGAGGCAGAGAGCAGAGGCAAGCAGCTCTGTGCGGCAGGCAAGGCCTGACCGGCAGGAAGGCAAGGCCAGGCCAGGCCGCGACAAACTACAAGCCAAGCTGCCCTCCAGGCCACCGGCACTTTCCTCAGGGAAATGCCAAGCCAGCATGGTCGGATCTTCCAGTGGTGTTTCTTGCTTTGGGGTAATTTTTTTTTTTTTTGAGTTTTTAAATAGTCAAGCTCTCACTTTTCAAATGTTGGCAAATATTTTTAAAAATTTAAATGTGCAGGCCAAACAAGAGGCACAGGGAAACAGGCAGGCCACAGCCTCTGCAGCCCTGGGAAACGCTCTGAGTGATGGTGTACAGGCTATGCAGTGGGGAAGGAAGAACTCAGCACAGCCTCCAAGGACAACTTGGCAGTATCTATGGAAATTTTACATTCAATAGCCTTCGACCCAGCAATTCCATGTCTAGGAGTTGATTCTTTTGAATAATCACTTGTGAACAAAACACAGGTACAAGAATGTTCCCTGCAGTCAAGTTTCAGCTGGGCGCAGTGGCTCACACCTGTAATCCCAGCACTTTGGGAGGCCAAGGCAGGGCGATCACCTGAGGTCAGGAATTCAAGACCAGCCTGGGCAACATGGCAGAACTCCGTCTCTACTAAAAATACAAAAATTAGCTGGGCGTGGTGGCGTGTGCTTGTAATCCCGGCTAGCCGGGAGGCTGAAGCACGAGAATTGCTTGAACCAGGGAGGTGGAGGTTGCAGTGAGCAGAGATCACGCCACTACACTCCAGCCTGGGCAACGGAGCGAGACTCCGTCTAAAAGAAAAAAAAAAAAAATTTACAGGTCACACCTGTAATCCCAGCACTTAAGGAAACCAAGGTGGGGGAGGATTGCTTGAGACCACGGAGATCAAGACCAGTCCGGGCAACACGGCAAGACCTCATCTCTACCAAAAATAAATAAATAAATAAATAAATAACCTAAATTCCACATTCAAAAAAGGAATGGTTACATGGACTATGGAATCCTCATACGATGGGGAACTGTGCAGCCATTCGAATTAGGAAAAGCCCACATACACTGGTACGAAAAGAACACCAAACATTTTCAGTTAAAAAATCTACAACAATCACGTGTGCAGAGAGAAAATGCCCTCGTGGGTGTTTCTGGAGCAAACGCGTGATTACAGACCGTGGGGTCCGCCCCACCTCTCTGTGACTCGTGCTTCTCCGTCTTGCCCTGGTAGTCGAAGCCCACCGCGCTCTTGTCTACTCGGTCGGCCTGCACGCCATACTTGCCGCCAAAACCACTGGAGTAGTCTGGAGAGACAGGGCAGCAATTAGCACGGGGGCCTGAGGACGAACTACACTGTTCCTTTTGTTAAACTAAGCAAAAGTGTGTAGGGGTTACAACTCACAAACACATCAAGCGCACATTTTAAAATGTACAACAAGCCACCCACTGCTCCATACAGGTGACGCTGGACCCTGTTTCACAACAGGTGCATGGGGGGGTTCTGGGCCCTGTCAGCTGTTACAGGGCAGTTCCTTTGTGTAGTCAGAAATGACGCTGCATGCCCACTTTGAAAATCAACTGCTCAGGTAAAAGCTGGAAAGCTTCATACAAAGAACCAGCACTTTGGAGGCTGAGGTGGGCGGATCACTTGAGGCCAGGAGTTTGAGACCAGCCTGGCCAACGTGGCAAAACCCCATCTTTACTAAAAAATAGAAAAACTAGCCAGGGGTAGTGGCACACACCTGTAATCCCAGCTACTTGGGAGGCTGAGGCAGGAGAATCGTTTGAACCCAGGAGGCGCAGGTTGCAGTGAGCCGAGATCGTGCCACTGCACTCCAGCCTGGGCAACAGAGCGAGACTCTGTCTCAAAACAAACAAACAAACAAAACAAAATGAAAAAAATGGAAAGAGAAAGCCTCATATGAAGAAAGCCATGCAGCTGAACATGGGAGACAAGACCCTGATCCTCCGCCTGCCCACACCACAGCTACCTCCACCTAGACTGCACCGAGACTGCGTAAGGACTGAGAGCTTGTTCCGCGGATGATGCAATGACACAAAGGAGGAAGAACTAAATAAGCTTGCAAAAAATAAACTGAGAACTTTAAGGTGGCGATATGCTTTGGTCTTTCAAAAAAGAGACTGCATGATGTAATCAAGATTAATCACCAGCAGTTAAGACCGTATGTGTATAAGGAAAACAAGAATTTAACAACTCTGGTTTCTAGCCTTGGGGGGAAGTTAGCTTTCTGCCGATCAATCTGTGAGCTCTCTTTTCCAGGAGGAGCGCTGCCCAGATGAAGGGAAGGCGGCTTCCGCTACAAGGGGGAGAAGCCCCACAATGACAGCAGATGCCAGGGCTCCGAGGGGGATGTGTAACGGGGAATACATCCATCATGTGGTATCCAGATGATCCAGAAACATGAAGAGGAGGGCAGAGTCCTCCTTGTGGCAACAGCCACCGCTCAGGAAACGGCTTCAGGTGGCTGTGACTCTCCCCATCAGGGCCCCCGGAGCGCGGGGAAACGGCTTCAGGTGGCTGTGACTCTCCCCATCGGGGCCCCCGGAGCGGGCTCTTTCTGCACCTTTCGCGTCTTACCTTTCTGGGAGGCATGCTTCTCAGTCTTCCCCTGGTATTCAAAGCCTACAGCAGACTGTGACGACCAAAAACACATGAAAAAGTGGGGAGAAATACTTTCCAATGTCCCTGAAACAATCTCTCTGAATTCATGACATGACATTTAAAAAAATATGAAACACATGATGCTGTGACCTCTGGGTTCCTAAGCCAGGTGCAGGTGGCAGTGACGCAAGAGCTCTGGCATCCTAAACGGACAGGCCCACTGCAAGGCCCAGTGGGCGGCGCAGGCCAAGCCATATCCCTGGTGACCTGCCCTCCCCAGCATGCGGCAGCAGGGAATGCTCAGCTGATTCATTCCACGGGCTTCACAAAAACTCGCTTCTCAAATAAGTCATGCTGAGAACATTAGTATTAGTAATGAGAATAGCAGTGGCCACCAGGGGTGCACTCCCACCAGCCAGGCACTGCGATGGGCATCTGAGCAAACACCCGTGAGATAGGTATGATCATCCTCCTTTCACAGACACATAAATTCAGAACCGTGGCTAATATGTCACAAAGCCACAATCTGCGACCAGCATCAGCTCCCTGCTCCCTCCAGGCTCCTGATCGCTCCTCTATTAAACAAAAGAGCCAACAGACCCGAGCCGAAGAGAATCAAAGAGGCTCGGGCCTAGGATGACTGCAACAACACCTGGACGCAAAGCCTGGGTCCTGGACACGAGCGCATCCTGCCCCCCCGGTATAGGCTCTGATGTCACTCTGTCACAGTAACACACATGTGAGAAACACGGGTGGAAACGGTCCCTGCTGGCACATTGGGACAGACACAGGGCCATCCAGTACTGAGGCACGTAGTGAAGAGCGACCGCAGGGACTGCTACAGCAAGCCCGCCGCATCCTGCTTCCTCTCTCTGAGAGCCCAGGCTCTCAGAGCATCCTGGGAGGCAGATGCCCCTCTCTGCAGTCCCCCAGAGCTGGAGGGCACCTGCCTGCTACTACAAGTGGCCCAACAGGGCTCAGATCTACGGGGAACGCCCCCCTTGCCCCAACCTGCCCCAGTCCCAGTGCCACATCACTCACCTGATCAACTCTGTCCATCTGGACACCAAACTTGCCTCCGAAGCCACGGACCGAGTCCACCTGCGAGCAGTGCTTGGAAAGTTTCGACTGATATTCGTGGCCGACAGCTGACTGGAACAGGGTTCAAACACAAAGCATTAGACACCAACAACACTGCGGCGCTTCACTTCCTCCCAGAGCAGGGCTGGGGGAGGCCACATCCTGGTCAGTGCAGGGAAACCTTACATTAACACACCCATCTGGGGAGCCAAGGAAGGCGACACGACTCCTGGGAGGCCCGGGTCCTTGGTGCAGGCTTTTTTTTTTTTGAGACAGAGTCTTGCTCTGTTGCCCAGGCTGGAGTGCAGTGGCGGGGTCTCGGCTCACTGCAAGCTCCGCCTCCCAGGTTCACGCCATTCTCCTGCCTCAGCCTCCCGAGTAGCTGGGACTATAGGCACCCGCCACCATGCCTGGCTAATTTTTTGTATTTTTAGTAGAGACGGGGTTTCACCGTGTTAGCCAGGATGGTCTCCATCTCCTGACCTTGTGATCCACCCGCCTCGGCCTCCCAAAGTGCTGGGATTACAGGCGTGAGACACCGCGCCCAGCCCTTGGTGCAGGCTTTCACGGCCCACCCCAGCCCTTGGGCTCCTGGAAGCTGCACACGAACCCTGGACACAGGTCGGGGCCACCAGTGGGGATTTCTGACACGACCGGGCATGAAGAAGGTACACAGAGCTGGCAGCCTGTGGCAGGATCCGTGAGACCCGCTGGTGTGGAGACTGCTGGCATCTACTGAAGTGGGACCTCTGTGAATCACATGACCAAAGAATCGGCACAAAAAATAGTCTGCCAGCAAACTATTTTGTTCTAATAGACTATAAACAAAAATAGTCTGCAAGACACAGGCTCACACTGGATTTCCGCTGAGCAGCACCCTGTTCAGGCAGGAGCCAGCTGCCGGCTCCCATGCCAGCTCATTTCAGCATCATTAATGTCGTCAGCCCCCATCAGCGCACACAGGTTTGGGGACCTTCTGTTCGCCAAAGCCAGCAGGTAAAGCCCAAGGTTCCCCTGGGCTTTCCAGACCCGGCACCCAGCTCTTCTGTAAATAACGCCTCTGGGACACAGCCACAGCCATTCACAGGTGTGCTGTCCACAGCTGCTTGTGTGATTCAGCAACTCCGTTCGGCAGTTCTATTGAGAGACCCTCTGGTCCACAAAGTGGAAAAGATCTCCTACCTCAAAGCACTGGCCCTGCTCCAGTCCTGACACCGAGGCCCCAGGGTTCTGAGGCTCCCTCCTCACAGCAGAGCCGGGTCAAGGACTCCTTCACAGACAGTGCGGGCACATGGCCCAGCAGAGGGCGTGGAGAAAGTCCACGGCACATCGGGACCCCTCTTCTCACTCCCTCTAGCATGTGGAGCCACTCATGCTAACCTGCTAACCCAAGCAGCATCCCACACCGGTGCTGACGCAGCAGGCAACTCAGAGAGTGTCCACTATTTCCCCTATTGAAAAAGCAGGTCTTGCCCTAAGCCTTGGGCCTGTGCTGCGCCCTCTTCTTCCCACGTTTGTTTTGAGGTTGGCAGCTGACTCTCTTTCCACATGAGCCATCACCTCCAAACCCTCTGTGGCAGAGACTGCCCATCCGTGTCCTCCGGGGTCTCACCCAGAAAACAGAGATGAAGGAGTGGCAGAGGCAGACGTGCCAAAGGGATTCCCCAGCATGAGTTTTCATCAGAAGGAAGTTACAGGAAAACTGATCTAAAGACATGCCCAGAATGACAACTAGGCAAAGTTTCCAGCTTTTTGATTGAAAGGGATTCATCTCCAAAATTGCCTTCGATTTCACATTGACAAAATCTGTTATTAAACAATCACGCTGGGGAGATTGTATCTTGAAGCCTGAATATGTAGACTCAGGGCTACGGGATGCAAGGAGACAAGGGATCAAGAAGGAAGCCTGCCCCGCGTGATGGATGCAGCCACCGCTGGCCGCAAGGGAAAGGTGCAGTGTGCTCAGGCCCCAGCATAAACAGAATCCTGACAGCCCGTCCAGGCTCCTCTCGCGTGTGCTTGTCCTCAATGTCTTCTTTTGTTCTGGAAGTCTCTAGCACATATTCCTCAAGTCTTAACGCAGAGATTTCAATTTTTTATTTTTTTTTTAGTTTCTGGAGTGGGCAAGTTACAAATAACTTAAGCCGTTTCCCCTTCGGTTTGGAATCTGAGTTTAATCTATTTATTTCCTGAGACAGCGTCTCTCTCTGTCGCCCAGGCTGGACTGTAATGGTGCGATCACAGGACACTGCAGTCTCCACCTCCCAGGTTCAGGTGATCCTCCCAGCTTAGCCTCCCAAGCAGCTGGGACTACAGGTGTGCACCACCATGCCCAGTTAATTATGTTTTTGTAGAGATAGGGTCTTGCTATGTTGCCCAGGCTGGTCTCAAACTCCTGGGCTGATAAGATCATCCTGCCTCGGCCTTCCAAAATGCTGGGATTACAGGTGCCAGTCCCGTACCTGGCCCTGAGTTATTTTTGACAACGTATCTGTCCCATGGTGCTGACCTGAGCTGAGCGCTAACCTGGCCCCGATGCCAGCTGGGACTGAGCAGCAGCAGCATCCCTTGCTGGACTCGCCCTGCTAGGACAGCTCTCCAACTTGCCGGCTGAGAGGTGAGAGCAAGGCTCCATAAGCCTCCTTGGTTCCATGAGAGCACTGGCCTAAGGGGGGGGCACGTGGCACTGAGCCAGGCACAAGGTGAGGATGACAAGTCCCGACCCTTGAAAAGCCCAGCCCGGAGGGGAGTCTCCCTGGGAAGGACAGCAGGATGAGGCAAGGACAGCTCATGAGGGAAGCAGAGGCTGCTGTGGAGACCGCACAGGAGAGAGGGAAGTGAGGGCTCTTCCAGGGAGCTCCTGGCACTCGGGAAGGCCTGAGCTGCAGGTTCTAGGGTGAGCGAGATTCGCGCTGAAAAAAGGTGCAGGCCGAGCAGCAGCAGAGAAGCCACAGCAGCTTCCCTACCAGGCTCTCCTGACACGTTGCCTTTCTTTTCCCCAATATGTAATTTTCCCAACCCACAGCAGGGAGCCCCATTTTTAGAATAAATGTCTCTCTGCGCTAACTCCCCACAAGCCCCCTAAGCACAGGGCTCGCCTCAGTCTGCAGTGGGAAAGGCTCCTATCTACTTGCTTCGTTCACTGCACTGAACACATGGATTCCGTCTGTCCGTGTGCACACGCTTCGCTCGCTGCACTGAACACGGATTCCGTCTGTCCGTGTGCACACGCTTCGCTCGCTGCACTGAACACATGGATTCCGTCTGTCCGTGTGCACACGCTTCGCTCGCTGCACTGAACACATGGATTCCGTCTGTCCGTGTGCACACGCTTCGCTCGCTGCACTGAACACATGGATTCCGTCTGTCCGTGTGCACACGCTTCGCTCGCTGCACTGAACACATGGATTCCGTCTGTCCGTGTGCACTTGCTTCGCTCGCTGCACTGAACTCAGGGGTCCGTCTGCCTGTTTACACTCCTAAAAGCTACCAGACTTTTTTTAGACTCCAAAGATGATGATTCTGCACACATTGCTCTTCTCGGTGTCAGGGCATCTCTGTGGTAGTGACGCAGCAACATCCATGTCTCTTTCCTGCAGAAGGTCCCTCACCCCACTCCTCCCCCAGGCTATTTATGGTCGTGGTTTGGGGTGCCCTGCCGGCCCACCACATCATCTACTCTGCGGGGGACAGAGCAAGGTGCAGCTCACTGTGACACGGCAACATCATCCCGTGCCCAGCTCAAATGTTCATCTGGCTGGTGCATGAGGTGGGAGAGGGGTATGGAATTACCGGCTGGAATCCGACACTGGCTAACACACTTCTTTCCACAGAGTAAAGGCAAGCATCTGTCAGGTCAGAACAAGCTTATGTTGCTCAGACTCAAAAGTTCACCTCCAGGATGTCTGTTTTACTGAAGAAACATGCAAACACACTGCGATCTCTTCCATCTTCTCTCCAGGAAGGAAAAGGTAGCCCTCCTGAGCTAACGTGGCTCCCTTTCTTAAGGTAGAGAGGACCTAAAGCACGGGTGCAGCCGGATGCATTTGGCCAACGTCCTCAATCAACGTCTGCGTGGCAGTCTGCATCCCATCAATGACAGCTGCTGGGAGGCTTGCCCAGACCTCTCGAATAGAGTGAGCACTGTCCCCAGCCTGGTACGCGCCGAATTTACACGAGGGAGACTGCTCTGATGGTCACTGAACGCATGAAGGATGTTAGCCAGGCCTTTGGCTGGATTCCGTGTGTGCTGTGAACCATGGGGACCTACAGATTTGACTTTGGTCTTCGGACTGGCATGACTTAGGCTACAGACTGGAACCACAGGCATTGACAGTGATGACACCTAGAGCCAGGATGCTTCTGGACTTCTGTCCTATCACAAGGCTGCCTCTGAGGGCCAATCTCCCTCTCTGGGCCTCCCCACTAACACCCGTGCTCCAGCACCTCTGAGGATTCCTAAAGAGCTTTGAAGAAAGCTAGAGTACTTCATGAGTAAGTCCAATCAACAGGGGTCTACTCCGGGCAAATCGCAACCTCAGCAGATGGACTCAAAACTGCTGATCTAAGGAAAGACTGAGGGACGACTCTGCCACCCAGTCTAGTGGTCCAAGCACACCAGGAGCCTGGCATAGGCAGCCGCGGGCCACTTACCTTATCCATTCGGTCTTGTTCCACACCAAATTTCCCTCCATAGCCATGGGAAGCTTTTGGTCCTGTTTCAAGTTCCTTCTCCTTAAGGGTCTGATGCTCTTGAAAGACATTCTCCCTCAGCTTGTGTATGCTTGATGGAAGAGATGAAAATAGGAACAGATCAATAAAACAGACGTGCAGCTTTGCCTCCTGGTATGATAAATAAGAACAGGTGACATTATCTTTGTAAATTTGTAAATCTGCTTATCTGATGTTCACCGATTCTCTCCCTGCACTGTGCCTTCCTGACTATTCTGCCGGCTGGTACACCCACTTCGGCAGTCTGCAGTATCAGACGCATGCTCTGTGGGAGACAGAACACGAATCTGAAGGCAGACACTGGGATCATCCCAAATCCCCGCTAAAGATGGCTCTACTGAAGCCTGACCTTTATTTCACACGCAGAAAATAGGAAAGCTAGTCTGTAATCATCCAGAGGTAGAGGGGGAAACACGAGGCTATGGTCCCTTCCTCGGCCACTGGCAGAAGTCCAGTGGTGCTGAACATTCAGATGATTCGTCTGTACTTGAAGTACTCCAGCTTTTTTATACATTCAAAGATGAGAGGAAAGCGTTTCAGAATTTAACATCTAAATGCCATTAAAAAATTTTAATACAGCAGATAATGAAACAGATGACAAGGTTTGCTCAAATCTGGTAGGCCAGACACAGCTGTCATTGAGAGACCCCAGAGTGATAAGAAGGCCACTTTGGCATTCGGACTTTCTGCCCAGGAGACACCAGGACGCCACCTTTGACATCTGGACGACAATCCTAGAATTGAAGATGAAATACAAACCAGGCTTGGAAACCGCCCAATACCCTTATGAGCAGGAGAAAGAAAGACACCACTCCTAAAACCTGGGAAGGCCCCAGAGCATGAAGAATGGGCTTATTCCCCATGTGTTCCTCTCTGAATCCTAACCAGCCCAAGGGTTTTGTACTGGAGAGTTGTTTTTTCTCCAAGCCACCCTCCGAGACATGTTTTGAAGCCACAGGGAACAGAAGAGATGAGAAGAGGTATGATGACTCAACGAATTCAGGAGTCTGCTTAACGCCATAGCAAATACCCAAGGCTACAGTGGACTCCCAAGTCAGCCCCATTCCAGTCTCTTGTCCTGGGCAGCCGCACGGCCACCGGAGTTCCGAAGCTGCTTCTGTGGAAGGGAGTGTGCTGAGCAAGCCAGAGAGGGACTAAAACTTGTGTATAAAAAGCCACTGGGGGCCAGGTGCGGCGGCACACACCTGTGATCCCAGCACTTTGGGAGGCTGAGGCAGGAGAATCACCTGAGCCCAGGAGTTCAAGACCAGCCTGAGCAACAAAAGCAAGACCTCATCTTTACAAGAAATAAAAGCACTTAGCTAGCCATTGTGGTGTGCGCCCATGGTTCCAGCTACTCAGGAAGCTGAGGTGAGAGGATCGCTTGAACCCAGGAAGTCAAAGCTGCAGTGAGCTATGATTGCACCACTGCACTCCAGCCTGGGTGACAGAGTGAGACCCTGTCTCAAAATAAATAAATAAATAAATAAATAAATCTTTAACAACAAAATAAAAAGCCATTGTGCAGGCTGTGCCTTCTTTTCTGGAGGAAGGACTAAATCTTTCTCAGCTGAAGGGACCGTGGTCAAGCGGGACAGTCTTCCCGGGATACTGAGGCGGTCACCGGGTCAGTGGTGCTGCCTTCACAGCCAGGGAAAGGAGGATCCACTCTGAACCCAGCGTGGCCTAAAATAAAAGTCTGAGCATATTTTAAAAGTTCCTTTTATCTACACTTTCTGACGAAAAAAAAAACTGCCCCAAGAGCTGGCATTTTAGATAGTGCCAAGTGAGAAACAATGACAGGGTTCACTCAGTGCCCAACTCTGGGCTTTCGATAAGAACACAAAGCTCACAGTACCTCACTATTAACACATAATCATTTCCAGATAATAAAAAAAGGGACAGGGCATTTAAGGTCTCAGTTATTCAGACATCTCATACTTTAGAAACCTCTCGCTTGTAAGGTAGAGCTTAGGGACAAATGTTCCCTGATAAAAGCCACAATACTGAGAAGCGGACACTCTAAAATTATAAATACGGAAATTGTTTGCAATGGGAATTTAAAAATTACTGAGCACAGAAGTATCTAAATATACACATATAAACACACACATTACACAAATACACATATATGTGTGTGTCTTATATTCATTTACTGCATGGGTATCAGGTCAAGAAGATAAATGCAGTTTCCACACGGGCTGTCCCTCCACAGATGACCATGGGCCCTGTTGCACCTGGGGCTCCATCCGCAGAGGGGCCCTCGGGAGGGTGGTGGCGACGCCTCTTACTTGATATGCTCCTGGTGCCCGGAGCCCTGCACCGTCTTGGCACCCCATCTTTGCTCCTTCTCACTCACATCATTCTGAAAAGAAAAGCGACCAGTAAATCTCACAGCCTGGATTGTGACACAGACAAACCACCACCCCATCAAAGAAAAACCCAGGAGAGCCACTTCCACTTCATGAAAGAGGAAAGCAAAGGCTGGCGGCTCCTACCACAAAATCAGGGTCGGTCTCCCAGTCATCGGCCCCCGCGTCATCCTGGGCGATGGACACAGCGTGGCCTGCTGAAGCTTTCCACATCTGAAAGAGCAGCCGGGGAGGGTTACGGAGGCCTCAGGGCGCCATCCACAGAGGCCAGCAGATGAGCCCTTTGGCCAAAACTACCGAGATTCTAGGCAACCCAGGAGGACGAGGCTGCAGGACCAGCCAATCCTTCATGATCCATAAGCCTGACTGACAACCACAGGAGTAAAAGAAATTTCACCTCGGGGTTCTAACACTGCCGTCACCTGACGTCAGAAATATACTGGAAATACTATTTGGCTTCACCTTGAGTGAGAAAATTTTCTGGAAAATAAAAAAGTCGTGTGTGCACTTATTTATTCATTAAGAACATATTCCTGTTCTGTTCAATCATATGATGATAGTTTCCAACCAAAAATAAAAGCACCATTTTGGATTATGTATTATAAATATACTAAATGTTACTAATGGTAAATCTCATGGTATGTGTATTTTATCACACATTTTTAAAAAGTGCACCCATTTTGATTTCAAGTGCTTACTGAAACCATAACAATAATTTTCCTAATTCAGACTTACAATTTAATAAATGTTTCAAGTAGTTTATTGGAGAATTGCTTTACTCTCTACTTGGAAGAAAACAGGAATATAAAATGCCACCTTTTCCTCTATCAGGCAGCTCTGCAAGTGGGCAGCCACCTTCTCCCTCAGCCCTTGAAGACTGGAAGGTTTTCTCTGTTATACAGAACAATGGCACATCTGTAAACCCTAACAAGACAATTCTTGTAACTGCAGTGGTAAAATATAAAATTTTAAGGTTTTTTTTTTTTTTTCAAACTATGTATAAAAAGAAGTGATTCCTTTTCCACAGAAATAGTAATACAATTACACATAGGCCACAGAGCAACTGAGAGATTATTTTAAATCAAACAACCATAAGCTGTGCCCAGGGGTCTGAACTGAG
Organism: Homo sapiens; assembly: GCF_000001405.40. Lineage (NCBI taxonomy): Eukaryota > Metazoa > Chordata > Mammalia > Primates > Hominidae > Homo > Homo sapiens. The sequence continues at coordinate 167,678 of NW_021160005.1, read as the reverse complement.
GACACCCAATTCACTTTTTCTCAGGTGCCATGTTGGGACTCTAGCGCCCTGAATCAGGACTGGACAAAACCCCTTCGCAGCTTGAGAATGTCCCATCTGGCTCCTCTCCCTCCAGCCTGGCTGGGTCTCAAGTCCAAATCCAATGTGACAGTGAGGGACCAATCAGGGCAGCGTGCTCTCAAATTTCTAGGTGCGACTTTGTCTCTTGGGGAAGAACCGTCTGCCAAGGGGTGTAGCAGGACTAACAGTGCCCCTGGAACCTTCTGTCAATGCCCAAAGCATGGCAAGAATTTCCAGAGTGATCTGCTTTTGCCAGGATTTTAGAAAACAGATGAACTAGAATCTCAGAACGGAAAGGCACAACCAGTCCATCTTGTCCCAACGCGCCCATTTATAAATGAAGCAACGGCTGCAGGAAAGAGAAACGGGATGCTTGGTCTCCGGCCGCCCCATGGCACCATGCTGCCCTGGCGAGGGGGCTGCCCGCCTGCAGGACTTCAGCTGCCCATGGTTCCCACCACTGAGAAGGTGGCTGCAAGAAAGGATGGGAGTCCCTGCAGGGCTGGCGAGGCCACCTTCACCCCCAAGGCAAAGGAGAAAGGCGGCAGGTGTCTTTGCCTGGTACTTTTTCAGGCTCATCGGGGAGAGATTAGCAGAGCACAGTCTCTGCTCATCTTCCCGGACACAGCTTCACCAGCGAGCGGGGTGGGCACTTGCGAGCTTCACAATCCTGTGCCTGGGGGCCCCACCCATGTTCATGGGGTGGGGAAGGGGCCAGATTTCCCCTCAGGGAGGACAGGAATGGTTCTCTTCCTCAATTCCAGAGTTTTCTGCAATTGTCTCCTCTAAGTCATATGCAACAGAAACCTGACTTTATTTTTTAAACAATGAAATTTCCTTCCAGAATATTATCATCTCTCTCCCAGTAAATCCACAGAAACAGCAACCTCCCCCGTTTCCTGTTAAAGGGATTTTTGCCCTTACCATCCACAGGAAAAGAATGTTAGGATGTTCACAATGCACAAGTACCTTTCTTTCCGCTTGGAGATAAAAGGCTGTTCACGAAATTCTGTTTAAAACACAGTAATCCAATGAGGAATTTCCAGGCATTGGGGACTGATTCCGTCTGTAAAAAGATTAAGGGTAAAAAGCTGAGAAGGATGTATGTTGAGCAGCTCCCTGGGCAAACCCTTCTGTGTGGAGATCTTTTTAGAAAACTTCAGAAATCTTCCCAAACGTAACAAGGTTTTGTAATGAAATCTGAGAGGAGGATGGGAAGACTTGCATTTTACTAATAAAAAAGTTCAACAGAGAGAAACTAAAGAAATAAGTTTTAAAAGATTTCTAACTACATGATGACTTTTTGTCTTTTTTGTTTTGTTTTTTTTGAGATGGAGTTTCACTCTTGTTGCACAGGCTGGAGTGCAATGGCACAATCGCGGCTTACCGCAAACTCCACCTCCCGGGTTCAAGTGATTCTCCTGCCTCAGCCTCCCAAGTAGCTGGGATTACAGGCAGGCGCCACCACGCCCAGCTAATTTTCTATTTTTAGTACAGACGGGTTTTCTCCATGTTGGTCAGGCTGGTCTCAAACTCCCGACCTCAGGTGATCCGCCTGCCTTGGCCTCCCAAAGTGCTGGGATTACAGGTGTGAGGCATGGCGCCCGGCCTACATGATGTTTCTTATGAATGCAAACAGAAATTATTGCCTTAATTGCTAGTATGCATTTACTGTTTGCCATAATTCTTAGAGATTTTCACTTTTTATTCATTCTAATTAATGACATTATAAAATAAAATTGTTACTGTGAGCTTTTTAAAACAATAATATAAGAAAAACACTCCTTGAGAGGATCATGATATGGCCGGGAGGAAAAACCAGTATGGTGACTGTCTATCAAGACATGAGACTGGCAGCTGGAGAGCCGAGGAGGAGGCGGGCTGCATTCCTAATGAACGTACACGGTTACCGCGCAGGGAGCAAGACTCCAGCTCCCCAGAGGGTGGCCAAGCACACGACCCCTTCCCTAGGACCACACATCAGCCTCAACTGGACACCATACTGCTAGACAACACACATGGACGAATGAAATCCCCTTGTCCCTAGGAACAAGCCGGTCACAGGCAGAGTGGTTTCTCACGCATTAGGAACTAGGGGATGGTGCCTGGCTGGCCCTCCTGGTAATTAATTAATTTCCTATCTGGTTTCTGACCCAACTGTTTGCTCCATCTCTCTCCCCAGTTCCCTTCGGCAATCCTAACTTCTACAGATTGCTTGCTACATTCTGGTTACTGCAGTTATTAGTGTAATCGGCAAGCATCTATACAACTCTGCCTAAAAATTTAGCCAGGCATGGTCGTGTATACCTGTAGTCCCAGCTACTCAGGAGGCTGAGGTGGGGGAACTGCTTGAGCCCAGGAGCTCAAGGTTGCAGTGAGCCATGATCACACCACTGCACCCCAGCCTGGGAGACAGAGAGAGACCCTGTCTCATACATAAATCAATCATAAAGTAAATAATAAAAATCTACTCATGAGCAGCTAAGGATAGGCTCAGATCCACAATTTTATACTCTCAATATTGGAAATTTAAAAAACAATCACAAAAATAACCAATAGGAAATAAGTTTGATTGTTTTGTGGATCCAAAGATAAAAAGCCTCTAGAGCCCTACCTCAAAACCATACAGAAAAATTAACTCAAAAATGAACTAAAATCCTAAAAGGGTGTAAATTTTTGTGACTTTGAATTTGGCAATAGTTTCTTAGATATGACACCAAAACACTAGAGGAAAAAAATAAATTGTACAAAATTAAAAATTTTGTGCTTCATCAAGAAGGTGACAAGACGATCCTGAGAGAAAAGTATTTTGAACTGTAGATCCAGAATATATAAAGAACTCTTGGCCAGGTGAGGTGGCTCACGCCTGTAATCCCAGCACTTTCGGAGGCCGAGGCGGGCGGATTACTAGGTCAAGAGATCGAGACCATCCTGGCCAACATGGTGAAACCCCGTCTCTACGAAAAATACAAAAATTAACAGGGCGTGGTGACGCATGCCTGTAGTCCCAGCTACTTGGGAGGCTGAAGCAGGAGAACTGCTTGAACCCGGGAGACAGAGGCTGTAGTGAGCCGAGATTGCGCCACTATACTGCAGCCTGGCGACAGAGTGAGACTCCATCTCAAAAAAAAAAAAAAAAAAAAAGGAACTCTTATAATTCAATAAAAAGGACGAATAACCCCATTTAAAAATGATTGAAGGATCTGAAGAGACATTTCTTCAGAGGAGATATACAAATGGCCAACAAGCTCAGGAAAAGTTTGTTCAATGTCATTAACCACCAAGGAAATGCAAATCAAAACTGCAATGAGAACCCACCTCATACCCACTAGGATGACTAAAATAAAACAGCCAATGACAAATCTCAGCAACAGTGTTGAAAAACTGGAAGCCTCATAGACTGCTGACAGGGATGTTAAATGGAAAAGGTCTGGCAGTTCCTCAGAAGGTTAAACTCAGGTACTGTATGACTCAGCAACTCCACTCCTAGGTCTATGCCCAAGAGAAATAAAGTATAAGCACACAAAAACTTGTGCGTGAGTGTTCAGAACAGCACTATTCATAGCAGCCAAAAAACAGAAACACTCCAAATGTCCATCAACTGATAGATACATAACATGTGGTCTACCTAACACAAAGGCATTTTATTCTGCCACAAAGAGGATCCAGCAGTGACACCTGCTACAGCGTGGAGGGACCTCAAATCCATTGCGCAAAGGAAAACCACGCACAAAAGACCACATATTATACGATTCAATTTCTAGGAAATGTCTGGAGTTCACAAATCTACAGAGACAAAAGATACATTGCTGGTTGCCCAGGGCTGGGCGGATGGTGGTGGTGAGGATAGGGAGGTCATGGCTAAAAGGTACAAGGGCTTCTTTTTGAGGTGATAAAATTATTCTGAAATTGACTGTGGTGACAGTTGTACAACTGCATGAAGATACTAAAAACCAGTGGAGAGTACACACTACACAGGCGTATTGTATGGTATGTGAATTATATCTCGATAAAGCTGTTACAATACGGTTCAAAAGAAGATAATGACTCTGTCCATCCTCAACATTAAACCTTCCTTGCAAACGTCAGTGTACAAATCAAGATTGCACAAACGTGAAGTAATCTTGCTGTCTAGACAGAGTGAAAAATTCCTCTACACAATAACTTTTTTTTTCTTTTTCAGACAGTCTTGCTCTGTTGCCTAGGTTGGAGTGCAACAGCGCGATCTCGGCTCACTGCAACCTCTGTCTCCCAGGTTCAAGTGATTTTCCTGCCTCAGCTTCCCGAGTAGCTGGGATTACAGGCATGCGCCATCACACCCAGCTAATTTTTTGTATTTTTAGTAGAGATGGGGTTTCATTATGTTGGTCCAGGCTGATCTCCAACTCCTGGCCTCAAGTGATTTGCCAGCCTCAGCCTCTCAAAGTGCTGGGATTACAGGCACGAACCACCGCGCCTAAAAGCCCCCCACCAGCCTTTTTTTTCTTTTTTTTTTCTGAGACAGGGTCTTGCACTGTGGCCCAGGCTAGAGTGCAGAGGCACAATCTCAGCTCACTGCAACCTCTGTGTCCCAGGTTCAGGTGATCCTCCCACCTCAGCCTCCCGAGTAGCTAGGACTACAGGAATGCACCACCACACCAAGCTGATTTTTCTCTCTCTTTTTTTTTTTGTTTTTTTTTGTTTGAGACGAAGTCTCACTCTGTTGCCCAGGCTGGAGTGCAATGGTGTGATCTCAGCTCACCGCAACCTCTGCCTCCTGGGTTCAAGCGATTCTCCTGCCTCACCCTCCTGAGTAGCTGGGACTACAGGCACCTGTCACTACACCCAGCTAATTTTTCTTTTTCTTTTTTCTTTTGAGATGGAGTCTCAGTCTTTTGCCCAGGCTGGAGTGCAATAGTGTGATCTCGGCTCACTGCAACCTCCACTTCGCAGGTTCAAGCGATTCTGGTGCCTCAGCCTCCTGAGTGGCTGGGACTACAGGCATATACCACCACGCCCGGCTAATTTTTTGTATTTTTTTTTTTAGTAGAGACGGTGTTTCACTGTGTTAGCCAGGATGGTGTCAATCTCCTGACCTCGTGATCTGCCCACCTCAGCCTCCCAAAGTGCTGGGATTACAGGTGTGAGCCACCATACCCGGCCAATTTTTCTATTTTTAACAGAGATGGGGTTTCCCCATGTTGCCTAGGCTGATCTCGAAACTCCTGGGCTCAAGCAATCCACCTGCCCTTAGCCTCCCAAAGTGCTGAGATTACAGGTGTGAGCCACCGAGCCTGGCAGAAGAATGTTTTAAATGACAGGACAGAACCATCCGTCCACCATCAGCTTTCCATTAGCCTCAGCATCTATGGCAGAGCAGGAGGAGAAAGGAAACAGACACTTGCGTAGCCAAAATCACCATCACAGGCACACTCCCTACACCACACTTACTCAAGGGAAACCCCGCCCCCAACATTTACTCCGTTTACTCAAAGCAGTGCGTGAGCAGATGGGGTGGGCCTGGGCCACAGTGAAAGCCAAGCCTGCTCCTGGAGCACAGTCCCCTGCTCTTGGCTGGCCCAGGCCATGGGAATACTGCAACACAAGGCAGCAACCAGCGCTCACAGCAATTCACACTCTCAGGACACCTTTTCTGAGCACCTACTGCGTGGCACAGACTGAAGATCTGAATTGCCGATTATGTGTGCTGTCATTTTAAAAGTGTTTTAAAAACAAGTCCATCAAAATGCTACAATTAAAAGTCAGCTTTAGCTGGGCCTGCAGTCCCAGCTACTTGGGAGGCTGAGGTGGGAGGATCGCTTAAGGCCAGCAGTTCAAGGTTGCAGTGTGCTAGATGGCACCTGTGAAGAGCCTCTGCACTCCAGCCTGGGTGACAGGGTCTCGCTCTGTCACCCAGGCTGGAGTACAGTGGTGCGATCGAGCTCAATGCAGCCTCCAACTCCTGGGCTTGAGATCCTCTGCCTCAGCGCCCCAAGTAGCTAGGACAACAGGTGCAAGCCAACATGCCCAGCGAATTTCTTTTTTTGTAGACACAAGGTCTCCCTGTGTTGCCCAGGCTAGTCTGGAACTCCTGGCCTCAAACGATCCTCTCACCTTGACCTCCCAAAGTGCAGGGATTACAGGTGTGAGCCACCGCACCCCTGCCCCAGGTCAAAAGAAATTTCTTTTCAGTAAGATATAGCAGAAGGTTAGCTTCTAGTTCTAGGGGACCTAATATCAAAACAACCCTGCCTCCCCAACTTTTTATTGAGTCCCACTTAAAAGACTCTTCCTTGTTCCTTGAGTATCTGGCGAATACTTCTCTAACCAGAGGAGAAACAGGACTGACTCAGTGCTCTGGAGCCAGTGACTCACCCACACGGTCAAACACGTGAATGGAGACAGGGGCAGGCGGCCAGCCCCTCCTGCGCCACGGCCTTGGGCCCGGCCGGGCTTGAGGGCTGGATCATGCCTGAAGGACCTAGTGGGTGAAGTCCCCCCGACAGAGCCTGCGCAGCCAAGTCAACACTGAGCCCAAAGGGAGCGCATGGGATTCCAGGGAGCGCTCACCGGATGCCTCCGGAGCTTCCTTCAGCAGAAAATGAATTCCTCCCCAAGGGGCCCCAAACGTCCACAGATTCCAGCGGGAGGAAGCCCTGTCCCTTCTCACCCAAGGCCTTCCAGCTTCAGGGATCAGGCATCCCTTAGACTATCCAGGTGATGGAAACGTAACAGAAAGCCCCAAAGCACCGTTCTGGTGATTTTAAACACACCCCGAAGGAGGGACGGTTCCAAATTTAGAGCCTCACGACTAGCTGCAGCCGCGCCTCGCTGCCTCCACTGACCTGATTGCAAAACCTCCGCTCAGGTGCAGGCCGGGCGGATCCCCAGCTGCTCCGCCACGTCCCACAGCGAGCCCCTCAAAGTCGCGCACCCCAACCGCCTTGACCCCGCGGACCCCATCCCTTTTCCCTGCGCCTGGATCCCTTCCCCTGGAGCCCCAATCCCCTCCCCTCGGACCCTATACCTTTCCTCCGAGCCCCGACCCCTTCCCCTCGAACCCCAATTCCCTTCCCTCGGACCCCATCCCAGTAGCTCTGCGCCTGGACCCCTTCCCGTCAGACCCCAATCTCCTCCCCTCGGACCTCATCCCTTTCCCTCTGCACCCAGACACCTCCCTCTCAGACCCCTCGCCCTTTCCTTGAGACCCCCCACACCCACCTTCCTTGGCCCCTCGAACCCCGGCCCCCTCCGCTCAGACCCCCGAACCCCACAGGCCCAGCCCCTCTCCCTCGGGCCCTAATACCCTCCCCCTCGGAGCCCATCCCCCTCTCCTATTCCCTCGGACCCAAGACCCCTCCCAGCCTGGCCCCTCTCCTGCCCTGGAGCCCCCCGGCGCCCAGGGACCCTCCCCTCAGAGCTGATACCCCAATTTGGCCCCTTTCTAACCTTCCTCCGCGGACCCCAGCCCCAAGCCCTCCGTGCCCCCTTGCCCCCTGCCCGGCCTCCTTGGGCCCAGACCCGTCCTCGTGGCCCTCGCGGACCCCCGGCCCTCGCCCTGCCCCGCCCCAGGCCGGGAAAGCCTCGCCACTCTGCCCCGGCCCCCGAAACCGCAAGCGGAAGAGCGGTGAGACCGCTGCGGCCGCCGCTTCCTTCCCCTTTCGCGGCCAGGCGACGCCACAGGAGGGAAGAAGCAGAGCCCGGCCTGCACCCCGGGCGGACGCCGCGCTCGCTCACCGCCGCCTGGGGTCGGTCCGGCCCGGGTCGGCCCTGGATTCCGCCGCGCCAGCCGCTCCCAGGCACCAGGCTCTACTTCCGGTTCCGAGGGCGGGGGCGGGGCCGCATCCGGGTCCCCGCGCGACCCCGCCCCCTGCCCCGCCTCCTCCCGCGTCTTGGCCCGCAAGAGTCCCGGGGGTCCGCCCGCAGCTGGCTAAGCGCTAGCCCGGCCTGTGGCGAGTCTGCAGAGCTCGCCCGGAAGTAGCGTTGCGCGCGCAGAGGATGGGCGCTGAGCAGCACACAGCCCGCGGCGGGGTCTCAGGATCCGCGGCGCTGCCCGGGGCCGGGGGAAGGAAGCCAGCCGAGGAGACGCACGTGCCCTGAGTCCGGGAGCGGGGAGCCTCTTCATCTCTCCATCCTCCCTCCGCGCGCGCCCTCAGCCGTCCTCGTCCGCTCACCATGCACCTCCCCTCCAAGAAAGGGCCACATGCGTGCCAGGGACGCGAGCCCCGGCCACAGGGACATAGCAGCCTAGAAGGTGAGTCAAGCGTTAAACCACATGGGTACTCACCTGGGAAATGAGATAAATGCCAAGAAGTGAGAGTTTCATAACATCGTATTGGGGAGACGGTAGGACCTGAACCCCTGGGAGACCAGAGGTTTCTTTGGGCGATTCACATGTTAGCCAAGATGTGAAGGCCCTATAAGAGTAAACAAGGTAAGGAGGGAAGAATTTTCCAGGCAGGCCAACAGCAGGTTCCAACAGCAGGGCCAACAGAGGTCCCAAGGCAGGAACGGTCTTGCAGCAGGGGAACTGGAGGAGGCTCAGCTCAGCATGGTAGAGGGCTAGTGGTGCAGCGGAGCTGTGGTGTGAGAGGGGCCAGGTCATGCAGAGGCCGATAGAGCACAGCGAAGACCTCGGTCTTTATTCTGGGAGACACGGGAAGTCCTCGGAGGAAGTTAAGCTGATAAGAGACATCATGAAGTTTGGGCCAGGCGCAGTGGCCCACGCCTGTAATCATAACACTTTGGGAGGCTGACATGGGAGGATCGCCTAAGGCCAGGAGTTCGAGACCAGCCTGGTCAGCATAGTGAGACCCTCGCCCCCGCCCGCCATCGCTAAATAAATAAATAAGACATAATGAAGTTTGAATTGTAATGAGATCACTCTGGCTGCTGTGTGGAAGATGGATGGGAGAAGGGCCAGGTAGAGCCTAATGTAGCCAATTCGGGCAGACCGCTGGTGGCAGGTAAGATGGGGAGAAGTGGATAGATGCAAGAGGCATTTAGAAAGCTAAACTGTCAGATGTGAGGATGAATTGGAAGTGCGGGTGGCGGAAGGAAATGTCAGGTGTTGACCATTTTTTTAAAGGTAAAATCATGACCTTCATACACATATAAAATGAACACGTCAAATATTTTATTTAACTCGATAATGAATACATCATAAGTTGTTACAAATTGTTTAAAGAATTTGGCCAGATGCAGTGCCTCGCGCCTGTAATCCCAACACTTTGGGAGGCCAAGGCAGGAGGATTGCTGGAGGTCAGGAATTTGAGACCAGCCTGGGCAGCATGGCAAGACCCTGTCTCTACCAAAAAAAAAAAATTTTTTTTAAGAAAAAAATTAGCCAGGCATGGTGACGTTTACCTGTGGTCCCAGCTATTCTGGAGGCTGAGGCAAAAGGACCGCTCCGGCACGGGCAACAGAAACCCTGTGTCAAAAAAAAAAAAAACGGAAGACGAATGCTGAAATGAATTTGCAAAAACTGCTCTATCTCTAGTGCAAAGGTCAATTGCATTTAACTGGACACAGCTAATTTGCATTTTCTGTGCACAAGGATTGTTGGCCAGGCTTGTAATACCAGCACTTTGAGCGGCAAGGCCAGAGGATTGCTTGAGCCCAGGAGTTCAAGACCAGCCTGGGCAATATAGACCCCATCTCTGAAAAAAAAAATTTTTTTTTTTACATTGCTGACTGTTTTTTTTTGTTTGTTTGTTTAATCTTTAGAGACAGGGGCTGGAGTGCAGTGGTGCAATCAAGGCTCACTGCAGCCTCGATCTCCTGGGCTCAAGTGATCCTCCCACCTCAGCCTCCCAAGTAGCTGTAGCTGGAACTACAGGCACGTGCCACCACACTCAGCTAATTTTTTTTTTTTTGAGATGGAGTTCCCCTCTTGTTGCCCAGGCTGGAGTGCAATGGCGCCATCTCAGCTCACTGCAACCTCTGCCTCTCGGGTTCAAGCAATTCTCCTGCCTCAGCCTCCCGAGTAGCTGGGATTACAGGCGTGCGTCACTTTGCCTGGCTAATTTTGTATTTTCAGTAGAGACAGGGTTTCTCCATGTTGGTCAGGCTGGTCTCGAACTCCCGACCTCAGGTGATCCTCCCGCCTCGGCCTCCCAAAGTGCTGGGATTACAGGCGTGAGCCACCATGCCCGGCCTCTAATTTTTTAATATTTTTGTAGATACTGGGTCCTGCTGTGTTGCTAATGCTGGTCTCGAACTCCTGTGCTCAAGTGACCCTCCTGCACTGGGATTACATGTGTGAGCCACCACATTGCCAGGCCACATTGCTGCCTGTTTTTTAAAGGTTAATTTCTGCCTCTACAGAGGTATGAAATCATCTAGTCAAAAAAGCAGGCATAGCCGGTGGTGTCCATCTCAGAGGGAGCCCTGTGACTGTATTGATCCAGCACAAACCCCTCCTCTCAAGTCCCTCACTGTGTCACACCTTTTGCCATAAGAGGTCATAGTCATAGGTGCTGAGGATTAGGCTGTGGACATATCTTTGGGCGCCCACGGAAATGTTCTTATTTCTATTAAAATTGGAAAAATGAACTTTTAGGTTGAAGAAAATGTATTTTATTCAAGAAAACATGTAAAGAAAATATAGCAGCCAGGCGCGGTGGCTCATGCCTGTAATCCCAGCACTTTGGGAGGCCAAGGCAGGTGGATCACCTGAGGTCAGGAGTTCAAGACCAGCCTGGCCAACATGGTGAAACCCCGTCTCTAAAATTAAAGTACAAAAATTAGCTGGGCTAATTTTACAGAGAAGGAAAGACAAAGCTCACTGCAGACTTTTCAGCAGGAGGGCAGCGTTCGTGGCTTAGAAAGACCAGTCTGCTGCCGGTGAAGAGCAGGGTGCTTCAGAGTGGCTCCCAGAGAGAAAGGGGCAGCACACTCTTCCACATGCCCATTGTGCTCCCCAGGAGAATGTGTGGCAGAGACTGAGGCTGGCCACAGGAATTACACATACAGTGTAAAATTTGCAAAGCAAGAAGTATAGCTGTGCTCAAAAATAGGTCGAAGCCGGGCGCCGTGGCTCATGCCTATAATCCCGGCACTTTGGGAGGCCAAGGCAGACGGATTTCTTGAGGTTAGGAATTTGAGACCAGCCTGGCCAGCATGGTGAAGCCCCATCTCTACTAAAATTCAAAAAATAAAAACAAAAACAAAAACAAAACTGGTGGCTGGGCGTGGTTGCTCACGCCTGTAATCCCAGCACTTTGGGAGGCCGATGCAGGTGGATCACTTGAGGTCAGGAGTCCGAGACTATCCTGACCAACCTGGTGAAACCCCGTCTCTAATAAAAATACAAAAATAAGCCAGGCATGGTGGCAGGCGCCTGTAATCCCAGCTACTTGGGAGGCTGAGGCAGGATAATCGCTCAAACCCGGGAGGTGAAGGTTGCAGTGAGCTGAGATCGCGCCATTGCACTCCAGCCTGGGAGACACAGCGGGACTCTATCAAAAAAACAAAACAAAACAAAACAAAAGTGATATCTCTGTGAGCCAGAAATGAAGAGAAATGCAAAGTGCTGAGTGGGCCTGCAACTGCAAAGCTGCTGGGCCTGGGTCACCCACGCTTGTAAAAGAAGCACGCAGCCAGGGGCGCACCAGTGGTCCCAGCTACTTGGGGAGGCCGAGGTGGGAGGAATCACTTGAGCCCAGGAGTGCAAGACCAGCTGGAGCAACATGGTGTGAACCTGTCTCAAAAAAATAAAAATAAAGAAAAATTTTAAAAACCCATGCAGCCAAAGAGGGATGTCCAGACAGCCTTATGTCCAGGACCTGAGCAAACCAGTCCCTGACTTAGAGTGCAGATGGGACCTGGGGCATTTGCACCACCACGCAGGGCTGTAGGACTCAATACAACACGTGTGACGGAGATGTAGCTGTCCACCCAGCGCCCCCACCCTCCTCGGTACTAAGTGGACATGTGGGTGTCCAGCTCTACTACATTTCCCAGCTTCCCTTGGAGTTGGGAGCTGCCATGTGGCCAGGTTCTCGCCCATGGAACATGAGGGGAGGTGACATGCATGGCTTCTGAGCCTGGACCATCATTCCTCCCCGGGGCTGCCTCCTACCGTGGACCAGCTTCCTAGGCTGCTGCAACACATTATGACAGACTCAGTGCCTCAAAACAATGCAAATATATGCTCTTCAGCTCTGGAAGCCAGAGTCTGAAATCAGTTTCATGGGCTAAAGTCAAGGTGTCAGTGGGGCTTGTTCCTTTTGGAGACTCTAGGGGAGGAACCATCTGTGGCCTTTCTAGCTTCTTGCATCCCTCAGACCCATGCATTCATCTTCACACCTGTTTTCTCTCTGTACGGATATGTCTCTTTGCCTCCCTATTACAAGAACATTTGGGATCCCATTTCAGACCCACCCAGAATATCCTCCCATCTCAAGATCCTTAATGTCATGACATCTGCTAACTCCTTTTTGCCATGTAAAGCAACATCACATGTTCTGACTATTAGGATGCAGACATATTTGGAGGCCATTATTCAGCCTACTACAGGTGACAGGTACAACCTTGGAAGCCCTGTTTTGAGGATGGCAGAGCCCACCAGCCTGCATCCCTCCAAGACTGCGTGGAACAGATCTTCCTTACTATCCCTTTCTCCTCCTCTGCCTGACCTGGACATACACCCTGCCCTGTTACGTGAAAGCAAAAGAAAATCCTGTTGTGTTTAAGATATTGCGTTTGGAGTCCATTTGTTCCAGATGTTTAGCCCACCCTAATACAGAGAGGTTGAGGCAACTGCAGAACAGGGAGACAGACAGCGTCACACACAGTGAGGAAGAGAGAAAATGAAACATTTCCTAATTAAAATGAACCTAGAATGTAAGTTCCAAAGGGATTGTAAAAATGAATACTAAATAAGAAAGCCAAAGGCCAGGCACAGTGACTCATGCCTATAATCCAGCACCTTGGGAGGCCGAGGCAGGTGGATTGCTTGAGCTCAGGAGTTCAAGACCAGCCTGGGCAACATAGTGAAGACCCTGTGTCTACAAAACTTTAAAAAAATTAGCTGGGTGTGGTGGCCTGTGCCTACAGTCCCAGCTACTTGGAAGACTGAGGCAAGAGGATCAGCTGAGCCCAGGAGGTCAAGGCTGCCAATGAACCATGATTTCGCCACTGCACTCCAGCATGAATGATAGAGGGAGACCCTGTCTCAAAATATAAAATAAATAAGAAAGCCAATACTGTGAACAATGGGAACATGAATTATTAAAGTTGAATTTTATATTGTAGAACATGAGTATGATTTTAAAATTATGTTTAGAACCAGGCCATGTGGCTCATGCCTGTAGTCCCTGCTACTCAGAAGGCTGAGGTGGGAGGATCCCTTAGGCCCAGGTGTTAGGAGTTCACGGGTACAGTGAGCTATAATCATGCCAGTGCACTCCAGCTTGGGTGACAGAGTGACTCTGATTTAAAAAAAATGGGAATGGGACTGGGCGCTGTGGCTCACGCCTGTAATCCCAGCACTTTGGGAGGACGAGGTGGGAGGATAACCTGAGGTTAGGAGTTCAAGACCAGCCTGGGCAACATGGTGAAACCCCGTATCTACTAAAAATACAAAAATTAGCTGGGTGTGGTGGCGGGCACCTGTAATCCCAGCTACTTGGGAGGCTGAGGCAGGAGAATTACTTGAACCCGGGAGGTGGAGGTTGCAGTGAGCCGAGATCACCATTGCACTCCAGCCTGGGTGACAATAGTGAAACTCCATCTACAAAAAAAAAAAGGAAAAAAGTCACCGAGATTGCCAACCCACTGAATCAAAAGAAGCAATAAATCTTGGTTGTTTTTTACTGTTACATTTTGGGGTGGGTCTTTAAACAGCAACGGATAAGAAAATATAGCAGATGATCGTGGGGTGGGAGCAGGGGACAGCATAGAACATATTAGACAGAAAACCTAAGGGTATATTTCATATACATATTGACAAAAAAATGCCAAACTCTGGAAAGTATTAAAAGAGATTTATTCTGAGCTAAATGCAAGGGCCATGACCCATGAGGCAGCCTCAGGAGGTCCTGAGAACATGGGCCCAAGGTGGTTGGGTTACAGCTTTGGTTTATATATTTTAAGGAGACATAAGACATCAATCAGTGCATGTGAGGTATACATTGGTTCCATCTGGAAAGGCGCGACAACTCAAAGCGGGGGCTTACAGGGCATAGGTGGACTCAGATTTTCTTTTCTTTTTTTTTTTTTTTTGAGACAGAATCTCACTCTGTTGCCCACGCTGGAGTGCAGTGGCATGATCTCGACTCACTGCAACCTCCACCTCCCAGGTTCAAGCAATTCTCTGCCTCAGCCTCCTGAGCAGATGGGATTACAGGCCTGTGCCACCATGCCCGGATAAGTTTTGTATTTTTAGTAGAGACGGGGTTTCACCCTGTTGGTCAGGTTGGTCTCAAACTCCTGACCTCGTGATCCACCTGCCTCAGCCTCCCAAAGTGCTGGGATTACAGGTGTGAGCCACTGTGCCTGGCCAGTTTTTCAGGTTTCTTTGGCATCCTCTTGGCCAAGGGGGAAGGGTCTATTCAGTTGGTTGGGGGTGCTTAAGAGTCACTTTTGGTTTACATACCGTATCAATGGCTGTGTAATTGTCAGGGGCGTGTGAACCAGAGCAACTCCATCTTGAATAGGAGCTGGGTAAAATGAGGCTGAAACCTACTGGGATGCATTCCCAGATGACTGAGGCATTCTAAGTCACAGGATGATGTAGGCGGTCAGCACAAAATACAGGTCATAAACACCTTGCTGATAAAACAGCTTGCGGTAAAGAAGCCGGCCATAGCCAGGCGTGGTGGCTCATGCCTGTAATCCCAGCACTTTGGGAGGTGGGTGGATCATGAGGTCAGGAGTTCAAGACCAGCCTGGCCAACATGGTGAAACCCCGTCTCTACTAAAAATACAAAAAAATTAGCTGGGCGTGGTGGCGGGCACCTGTAAACCCAGCTACTCAGGAGGCTGAGTCAGAGAATTGCTTGAACCCGGCAGGCGGAGGTTGCAGTGAGCCGAGATCGCACCACTGCACTCCTGCCTGGGTGACAGAGTGAAACTCCATCTCAAAAAAAAAAAAAAAAAAAAAAAAAAAAAGCAGCAGCAGGCGGCCAAAACCCACCAAAACCAAGATGGCGGCGAGAGTGACCTCTGGTCGTCCTCACTGCTACACTCCCATCAACGCCATGACAGTTTACAAATGCCATGGCAACGTCAGGAAGTTACTCTATGTGGTCTAGAAAGGGGAGGCATGAATAATCGGCCACCCCTTGTTTAGCATGTCATCAAGAAATAACCATAAAAATGGGCAACTAGCAGCCCTTGGGGCTGCTCTATTCTAAAGGTTTGCTCTATTCTTTTGTTCCTTTGCTCCCCTAATAAACTTGCTTTCACCTTACTCTGTGGACTTGTCCTGAATTCTTTCTTGTGCAAGATCCAAGAACCCCCTCTTGGGGCCTGGATCTGGACCTCTTTCCTGTAACATAATAAACCACCCCAAACATAATAAACCATAAAAGGTGGTGGTGTTTACTGGTGAAACCTTTCATCATGCTCATAATTTTGTGAGTCAGATGGGGGATGTGGGAGCGGCTTACCTTCATTTCAATGGTCTCCACTGGAGTGGCTCATCTGGTCAGCCATGGCTGCGATGAAGACCGGGGTTCTATGTCTGGGCCTCGCTTCTGAATGTTGGGTACGTCAGAATGGCTTCTCCTCCAGCACGGCTGTGAGAACTGGCATGTCCAAGTTGGCTTCATCACGTGTATGGCTGGCACTTCGAATAGGATGGCGGGAGCAGCTGGGGACAGACACTAGACAGCTCTCTCCAGTCTTTTCATGTGGCTAGCTTGGGCCTCCTTACAGTGGGGTGGTCTTGGAGTAATAGGACTTATTACTTGCTAGTCACCCAGACTCGAGTGCAGTGGCGCGATCTTGGCCCACTGCGACCTCCGCCTCCCAGGTTCATGCCATTCTCCTGCCTCAGCCTCCCGAGTAGCTGGGACTACAGGCGCCCGCCAGTATGCCCGGCTAATTTTTTTGTATTTTTAGTAGAGACGGGGTTTCACCATGTTAGCCAGGATGGTCTCGATCTCCTGACCTTGTGATCGGCCCGGCTCGGCCTCCCAAAGTGCTGGGATTACAGGCGTGAGCCAGCTCACCCGGCCACTTGGTGGCTTGTTTCTTTCAGAACGAGAATTCCACAAAACCCAGGAAATCGTCTTGTGACCTAGCTCCAGGTCTCAAAGTTATGTCTGCTGCATTCTTTTGGTCAAGCAAGTCACTAAGGCCAGCCCAGGTTTAAGGGAGGGGAGTTAGACTCTTACCTTTCACTGTGAGGAGTAGCAGAGAATTTGCAGCCTGTCTTAAATGTTTTGTCACATACTGTATGTGTTTCATCAAGTCTAACATGTTGTGGGAGCCAAGGCCCTTGGCCCCCTAAAGGTTTGCTGAAAAATCACTGGCATGAGGCAGATTGGCTAATCGGAGAAAAGGCACACACATGTATTTACCATGTATACACAGGAGCCTTCAGAATAGAGACCCAGCCCCCCAGGAGGTACAGGAGCTTATCCAGGCTTGTCCAACCTGCCTTATTTTGTTGTTCTGTTCTAGGCTTTTGGCAGCCCAACGCCATGGTTTTGAGTTTCTGTCTCTAGTGATAAGTAGAAAAGAGGGATAAGGAAGGGGCTTTACTGGGCCAACCAGAAAGAGACTAGGAACCCATGACTGTATTCTCTCCTTGGGCACCACTGTCAGGTCTTGAGGCCACAGAATGAATGAGGGCTTGGATCCTGGCAAATGAGGTTCTGGGAAGACGGGAGGAAGAGGTCTGGCTAGCAAACGGGGTCTTGTTACATAGATGAAACCTCACAAGTAGAAGTCGTCAGGGATGATAAACGGCTCTTTTCAGACTTTTCAAGGTGTTATATAAGGCCTGGGTGCAGTAATGGAGATTCTCTACAGATGCAAATTGCCCTGACAATAGACAGCTTTGCAGGGCCACTTCATCTGTTGGCCCTATAACAGCCATTACAAATAATGTCAAAAATACAATTTGGAGTAAATGTTTCTGTTGTTGTCGAGACACAGTCCGGCTCTGTTGCCCAGGCTGGAGTGCAGCAGCCTGATCACAGCTCACTGCAACCTCCACCTCCTGGGCTCAAGCGATCTTTCCACCTCAGCCTCCTGAGTAGCTGGGGCTACAGGCACACACCACCACACCCAGCTAATTTTTGTGTTGTTTGTAGAGACGGGGTTTTGCCATGTTGCCCAGGCTGGTCTCGAACTGATGAGCTCAAGCAATCCACCCACCTCAGCCTCCCAGAGTGCTTCAGTATCATTGCTTATAAGACACATCCTAATTTAAGATACCAAAACATGAAAAAATGTTCACAGCAGAATTGATGAAATGTAGTGTGTGCATGCTGGGTTGTGATATAAAATATTTCAGCTGTGGGCTGCAGTTAGAGTTTGAAACTGGGCAAAATTACCGTAATGAAGTGAAGGGGTAAGCAGCAGTATTCTCAGACATCCAAAGACGAAGACAGTTTATCACATAGAGGGTCTGCCTGAGACAACTATTAAAAATTGTTTTTTGGACTATTTTTTTGAGACAGGGTCTTGCTGTGTTGCCCAGGCTGGAGTCCAGTGGCATAATCGTAACTCACTACAGCCTCGACCTCCCAAGCTCAAGTGGTCCCCCACCTCACCCTCCAGAATAGCTGGAACTACAGGCGTGTGCCACCACACCCCGCTAATCTTTAAATTTACTGCAGAGGCAGAGCCTGTTGCCCAGGCTGGTCTTGAGCTCCTGGCCTCAAGAAATCCTACAGCCTTGGCCTCAAAGTGTTGGGATTACAGGTGTGAGCCACTGCACCCAGCAAACATTTTATTATGGAAAATCTCACACAAATGTGAAGGTGGATTAATGTAACCATCATGAATGCACCATCCACCTTCAACAGTCACCAATCCACATGGTCAGTGTTGTTCAATCCATAAGCCCTCCCTCCCCTAAGATGATGATGATGATGATGATATTTTTTTTTTGAGACCGAGTCTTGCTCTGTCACCCAGGCTAGAGTGCAGTGGTGCAATCTCGACTCACTGCAACCTCCATCTCCCGGGTTCAAGCAATTCTGCCTCAGCCTCCTGAGTAGCTGCGATTGCAAGCGCCCGCCATCACGCCCAGCTAATTTTTGTATTTTTAGTAGAGACGGGGTTTCACCATGTTGGTCAGGCTGGTCTCGAACCCCTGACCCGGTGATCCACCCGCCTCGGCCTCCCAAAGTGCTGGGATTACAGGCGTGAGCCACCGCGCCCGGCCCCCTAAGATTATTTTAAAGCAAACCCCAGACATCGTGTTATTTCATCTGTGAATACTGGGGAATATAGTCTTACCATGTGCCCCCCTGTGTTATAATCAAAGTATCCCACTTGCCTCACCAATAAATAATATAGTCATAATAATGAAAACAGAGAACATGGATTTGATCCCAACAACTTGACTTAACCTCAGCTGGGAGACTGGGAGAGGGGAAGGGAGGTGCCAGGTGCTCAAATTCTCATCAGCCACAAGACATGGCCCAAAATGGAGGAAGCAGGACGCCACGCTGAGCGCATATCATTTGGGAGTAAGAAAGCAAATAGAAGGAATAGCCAAATCCATTCCCCATGGTCTAGGGAGCAGGGAGAAAGAGAGGAAGGGCAAGGGCAAGGGCTGCTGGTTTTATTCTTTTTTTATTTTTATTTATTTTTGAGACGGAGTTTCGCTCTTGTTGCCCAGACTGGAGTGCAATGGTGTGATTTCAGCTCACTGCAACCTCTGCGTCTTGGGTTCAAGCGATTCTCCTGCCTCAGCCTCCCTAGTCGCTGGGATTACAGGTGCCCACCACCACGCCCAGCTAATTTTTTTTGTATTTTTCGTAGAGATGAGGTTTCACTACATTGGCCAGGCTGGTCTTGACCTCCTGACCTCAGGCAGTCCACTCGCCTCACCCTCCCAAAGTGCTGGGATTATAGGCGTAAGCCACTGCACCCGGCTTGTTTTTACTTTAAATGATGTGCATGTATGACTTTGATTATAACAAAAAACTTAAAAATGAAAATAGGGTGTTGGAGAATTGGTGATTCAACTCCCTCAAGACTTACAGTTTCTGTAATACCCCCATTCCTAAATTATATTGCTTTTGTTTAATGAGCACATTTTGGTCTATTTGAAGATGAGAACCGTGTAGTGTTAAGGCAGAGTCGTGCTTTGTCGACCGCCCTTCATCAGGAGTGAAAAATTGTGCTCTGTTGGCTTCTTTTGAGGTCGATTGGCAAGACCTATTTAAAGTATTCACGACCAGTGGCTGGGCGTGGTGGCTCATGCTTGTAATCCCAGCATTCTGGGAGGCCGAGGCGGGCGGATCACGAGGTCGGGAGATCGAGACCGTCCTGGCTAACATGGTGAAACCCCGTCTCTACTAAAAAATACAAAAAATTAGCTGGGCATGGTGGCGGGCGTCTGTAGTCCCAGCTACTCAGGAGGCTGAGGCAGGAGAATGGCGTGAACCCGGGAGGCGAGCTTGCAGTGAGCCGAAATCGCGCCGCTGCACTCCAGCCTTGGTGACAGAGTGAGACGTCTCAAAAAAAAAAAAAAAAAAAAATTCACAACCGGGCGCCGTGGCTCACGCCTGTAATCCCAGCACTTTGGGAGGCAGAGGTGGGTGGATCACCTGAGGTCAGGAGTTCGAGACCAGCCTGGCCAAAATGGCGAAACGCCGTCTCCACTAAAAATAACAAAAAATTAACCAGGTGTGGTGGCGTGCACCTGTAATCCTAGTGACTTGGGAGGCTGAGGCAGAAGAATCACTTGAACCCAAGAGGCAGAGGTTGCAGTGAGCCAAGATTGTGTCATTGCACTCCAGTCTGGGCAACAAGAGTGAAACTCCATCTCAAAAAAAAAAACCACCTCACAAGAGCTGGTGCATGACAGGTCACATGAAGAAAGGTGGCATATTACCTAATACAGGTCCATTTGCATTGGTGTTCTCTGAAACCCTGTCTGGAGTTTTATTCATAGGAGACAGTAAATATGTAGCGTGAACATGAAATGGTTCTCAGC
This sequence comes from Homo sapiens, assembly GCF_000001405.40. NCBI lineage: Eukaryota > Metazoa > Chordata > Mammalia > Primates > Hominidae > Homo > Homo sapiens. The sequence goes on along the minus strand of NW_021160005.1, from coordinate 147,511 downwards.
ATTTGATGTTGTGTGATGCAGGCCTCCCCAGAGGACTTCTCCCTCCCTCCATGCCAATGTCATGGCGCAACTTGTACTCCTGGGCTGTCTCTTGGATGTACAGGCTTAGAAACGTTTCTTTTTCCTGGAAGGGTGAAATAATGTTCTTACCACGGTCTCTCCAGCACCAAAAAGAGCCTGGTACAGAGTAGATAGATACTCAATGAATGAGTGCTGAATCGCTCTGAATGGAGAGGGGATGCCCACAACTGCATCTTTTGCCAGGTGATGCTTCGCACACTCAAGTTTGAAGATTAACGGTCCTAGACGTCAAACCTATTTGCATGCCAAGTGTCGTTTTATTTTAAAATGTCTTCACTTTTTTTTTTTTTGGTAGAGAAGGGGGTCTTACTACGTTGCCCAGGCTGGTCTTGAACTCCTGGCCTCAAGTGATCTTCCCAGCTTGGCCTCCCAAAGTGCTGGGATTACAGGCATGAGCCACTGCCCCCAGTCCCTTTTTTTTTTTTTTTTTTTTTTTTTTTGAGATGGAGTCTTGCTCTGTTGCCAGGCTGGAGTGCAGTGGTGCGATCTTGGCTCACTGCAACCTCTACCTCCTGGGTCCAAGCGTTTCTCCTGCCTTAGCCTCCCGAGTAGCTGGGACTACAGGCCAGCTAATTTTTGTATTTTTAGTAGCGACTGGGTTTCACCATGTTGGGAAGGATGGTCTCGATCTCTTGACCTCGTGATCCGCCCACCTCGGCCCCCCAAAGTGCTGGATTACAGACGTGAGCCACCACACCCTGCCCAGTCTCTTTTTTTCTGGAAGTTTTAAGATACTCGACGCATGCCTTTGGCTTTGTTCAGCCAAAAGGGACTATTAAATGGAAAAAAGCAGGGAGGCACTACATTATGTTTTAAAGCTCACACTGAAGTTAACCTCAAGAACTAGAAAGTACAGAAAACAAGGCTTTCCCTACATTAAGCAGGAAGATCAGCAAACACAGGTTCGAAACAGGAAAGCACTGAACACCCGATGGCTGCCTGAGAGAAACGTCCCAGGACACACTGACCCACGTGACAGCACGTGCCACTCAGACGAGGTGTCAGCAACGGAGACAGAATGAGGAAACGGAGACCAAGGTGACGTCGGCAGTGGCCGCTGATGCCTGCTCCAGGTGGGGTGGTGGTGGCCATGGGCTCTGCGAATCCCAGGCTCAATGGCAACACTGAGGTGGGAGGAGGGGAAGGGACACTTGCTGGTGTCTGGCTTTCCTCTTGGGCATCAGCTTCCAGCCCTTCAGCCTCAGCTCACCAACTTCCATGGGTGGGCCCTGCTTGACTCCCCCAGCCTGTCAGCGTGTCGCCTCCCCTCTGCCACCCTGGGCTGCTTCACAACTCAGGACCGGATGTGAGCTATTAGGGAACCAGGCTTCCTGATTTCCAGAGGCCATCAGTGTGGAAGGGTGCAGGCCTGGGAGCCACCTTTGTGAGCAGGCAGGGAGAGCAGGTGGGAGTGTGAAGCCAGCACCGAGGAAGGAAGCAGAGCTGGGAAACGGTGTTAAGGGACATGCGTGCATGCGCGCGGTCCACGGCCTAGGCTCTGCCTTTGGGCCCTACCCACCGACTGTGTATGTGAGCCCCCACATTTGCATTTAACAATTTAACACCAGGCACCTGTCTCCTGCAGTGATGCAGGCTCGGGACCTCCAGAGCAGCGGGCAGGATGACGCCCTGAACCTGCACTTCATCTCCTGGCTGCTTTATTCTGTCAATTGACTTCTGTAATACAATTTCCATATGGTGACACTGCCTTCCAAAACAGTTAGAGCTTATTCTCAGTATTCTTCATTGGCAGTGGAAAATGCTTCAGTACTTTATTGAAAGAAAGCAATAAATAATACTGTGATAAAAATAGTTCAAAAGTAGACTGTACATACTTTGTTACATAATCAGGAAGTTGACAAAAGATTAATAGAAAAACAGAACAGTAACAATGAATTGTACAAGTAAATTAAAAGCAGAAACCAACTGAAAAGACAGGCTGCCTCTGTCTCTGGATCTGCTGCACAATAAATACCACGCCATGGTCTGACACACTTTGCTGGCTTGTTAATATGCCATTTAAAAAGTAAAAGCCACATCTGCAACTTACACAATCCAAAATGGCTAGAGCATCAAAGTCTAAAAATGTCCCACTAGGTTCGTTCTTTAAACATGTTTACAAACAAATGTAAAAAGATGATTTACATAAGAAAAATAAGGCCTTTATTAGAGCTGCACTGCACTGCTTTCTGGGTCTCCTGCCTTCATCCACTGTGTGCGCCGACTTGCAGGATGAGAGCGTGGTGCTTGGTGCTGGCCCTAAGGGGAGCCACATGGGTGTCTCTCCACCCGCTCCCAAGGAGCAGAGGCAGGGAAGAGGGTGCAGGGGCTAGACTGGTCCCCAGGTTACCCCATCCCGAGTCTCTCCAGCTGAGAGAACTGCTCCCAGCTCACAGTCTCAGCCACTGAAGACAAGCTCCCCAAATCCAGAGACTAGGCTAGGAAAGCGTTAACCAGTGCTAGGGGCTTCTCATAGTGTTGTGATAGTGTTTTCAGTCCACATCTTATTAGGAGCTGATATTTAACACCAGCCATTTTAAATCTGTTCATGCTGCAGAATAAAGCATCTCTTGCTAGAAAAAGTACAGTTAAGGTCAGTCATGAAAATACAACAATTGCTTGAAATTAGGTATGCTTATTTCAGGATGATTGCTGTAGAGCTAGGCTGCGTCCGTAAAGGATAATGCACATGGCTTCTGTCATAATTTTATAAACGTAAAATCCTTTGTCATGGTTTATCATTAAAAAATTAATGATAATTACAATAAATGCATAATTTACAAAAGCCCTCTATTCATAGGATTTATACATACAAGCATTACAGTACATTCATTTGAAAGACTAAAATTAGGTATAAGAACATGATTTGAAAGGATATTTATAGCCTGGATATACATGAAAAAGTAAGTAACTATATAAATGAAGAGTCATAAGTTTACATAAATATAAGAAACATTAAATTCTAAAATATTTTCTCTATGGTATTCATGAATTTTTCACTAATTAAAAACTCTGTAATAAAATATCTTAGGGTCCATATAACAAGTATTAACAAGATTAAAGATTCCACTGGATTCCAAAATGTAGTCTTTGTTGGATTCAAATGCTGCATAATCATCTGTAGAAGTAGTGTGGGTAAACTGGAAAATAAACACAAACAAAAAACCACTCAGTACAGGCCGGGCCATACTGACGAACGGGAACTTCTGATGCTGGGGCCCAAACGTCCCCCCGACACTGACCCCTCCCCTCCAGGACCCCTCACTTTCTGTGCCGTAGCTGCTCTGAGAATCACTGGCTAGAACATCAAGGGCTATGCACATCAATGAGACAGCTCCTTGGCTGACTTCATTTTGGCTTACGTCTCCATGTTACCAATTACAAATAAAAGATGAACAAACCAGTCAAATATTCCAACGGAGACCTTAAAATTGCTTAGAACAGCAAGGAGAGGGCGGGCCACTCACCAGCCAGAGTCCGCAGTTTTAAGAACCAGTCTCTCCAAACTGAAAGGCTATTAGTGTCACACTTAGTATAATATATAATTAACCACAAAACTTTGGGCTTGTTTCATTCAAGAATGTGTATTTAAAACAAAGCAAGCTTAGGAATCACAGCAATGTGCATAACGACGTCAGGAGGAGAGACTCTCCCCTGACGCTCTCTGCCATGCTCTGCTCTCCTCCCCACTCCACCCCCATGACATCCACAGACAATTAAAATGAGTCAGCATTTTCAGGTTTAAGGAAAAGGTGAAAATACATTTTTTTCCTTAAAAAAAGAGGACACACTAACCTCTTTATGATCAATTGTAACAACAAAATGATCTTAATGGGTACGGAGAGCTTGTGTCTATATATATTTTAAATTCCCCAAAAACTGCACTGGCTTTCATGGTCCACACCCCTAGTCTGGCACTGCAGCTCCGATGACTCCTGCTGTGCCTCTGAGCCATCTCTAGGGGTTGTGGTGCTCTCTACTCACCAACAGGAGACTTTAGCAGGAGTAAGTCCTGACTGTAGCAGAATCCAACCTCTGTGTTCCTGATACATTGCCTGTTTCAACAGCCACGAGAGGAAGCGTGCAAACACAGCGTGCAGTTAGTCTTAGAACATCACATGAGGGCACAAGTAGACACACATCTTCACACCTACAGCAGTGCCTACGGAGGGACCTGAGGGGAGCTGCCTGAGTGGGCGGGATGGAGCCAGAGAGATCCAAGTGTCACCCAGTGGTGGCTCTCCCCAGCTCCCAAAGAGCCCCGGGAGACTCTGGAACACTACTCCGAAATACCAAGCACCAAATGGTACAGTAACAATTTCAAAATGTACATCTGCATAAATGACCCCTACTTAGAGTGATCCCTTTATCTCTTACTAAACTCTGCATTCATAGACCAATGGGGCTTTCTCCCTGCCCTAAGTGCTCCATCTCTAACACTGGTATGAAGGAAACACCAAGCGGCACTGCTGATGCTGCCCAGCCCCACTGAGCGCAGAGGCCAACGACGTCGGGTACAAGACCAGTCTAAGAGGAGGGAGAGAACCTTGCTACCCAGCACTAGCTGGGTGTCTGGGAAGCCGGTGCCCTTTTCTCCTGGGGAGGAGCAGAGCAGGTGCAGAGATCTGGCTGCAGGGGTGGGGCGTTGGCCAGGGAGTGGGGTGAAAGCTGATCTAAAAACTGAAGCCCAGTCTCAGTTCCTACCAGAAATATTAATCATAGAGACCACAGATTTTGGTTCTTGTTCAAGAAACACAGTGTGGCCATAAGTAAGCCCGATTTCCATTAACAACTGGGATTTTAAGTTTTTGCAAATCGGAAGCAGGTACTGGCTGCTCCCGGTTATGTTTTTTGTTTTCCCACAGGTATACCAGGAACACTTAATCAACATCCTGCATGGTTCCAGCAAAGACATTAAGACAGTTGGGACTGTTGGTGAGGACAGATGATCTTCACAAACCCTCTGACTCTTAAGAACCTGGGAGACCTGCTGGAGTTTACCCCACATTCCCTTAATTAAAAAGCCATTAAAATAGTCAACTTTGCTGGGCACGGTGGCTCGCGTCTGTAATTCCAGCAATTTGGGAGGTCAAGGCAGGAGGATTGCTTGAGCCCAAGAGTTAAGACCAGCCTGGGCAACATGGTGAGAGCCCATCTCTACAAAAAATTCAAAAAATTAGCAAGGCATGGGACCACACCTGTGGTCCCAGCTACTTGGGAGGCTGAGGTTGCAGTAAGCCGAGACTGAGCCACTGCACTCCAACCTGGGCAACAGAGTGAGACCCTGTCTCAATAATAATAATAATCCCTTTAGCAGGCTTGTGCCTGAGTTATTTAATGTAAGGGTAAAAAGTCTTCTTTATAATAAATTCCCTATACCTTTTAGGTTTACTTTTTTTTTTTTTTTGAGACAGAGTTTTGCTCTTGTCGCCCAGGCTGGAGTACAGTGGCATGATTTCGGCTCACTGCAACCTCTGCCTCCCAGGTTCAAGCCATTCTCCTGCCTCAGCCTCCTAAGTAGCTGGGATTATTGGCATGTGTCACCATGCCTGGCAAATTTTTTCTTTTGAGACAGTCCTGCTCTGTCGCCCAGGCTGGAGTGCAGTGGTGTGATCTTGGCTCACCACAAGCTCCGCCTCCTGGGTTCATGCCATTCTCCTGCCCCAGCCTCCCGAGTAGCTGGTACTACAGGCGCCTGCCACCGTGCCCAGCTAATTTTTTTTTTTTTTTTGTATTTTTAGTAGAGATGGAGTTTCACCGTGTTAGCCAGGATGGTCTTGATCTCCTGACCTCGTGATCCTCCCGCCTTGGCCTCCCAAAGTGCTGGGATTACAGGCGTGAGCCACCGAGCCCGGCCGATTTTTTTGTATTTTTACTAGAGACAGGGTTTCACCACGTTGGCCAGGCTGGTCTCACCACGTTGGCCAGGCTGGTCTCGAACTCCTGACCTCAGCTGATCCACCCACCTCAGCCTCCCAAAGTGCTGGGATTACAGGCGTGAGCCACCGCGCCCGGCCTAGGTTTACTTTTCATCCATCCAAACTCTCATTCTTAATATTCCTGTTAACATTTAACAAGGGAGATGTGATTTATCAGAAGGAAAACTGAAATTGAAGCCACAAGTAAAACAAGAAAGCACTCGTGGACTCCAGGTGACAGAGCTTGAGCTGAAGGCCAAGTCACAGTTCTGCTTTCTAAGAATTATATGCATGACTCTTGGAAGAAAAATGCTAATTTGTAAAAAGTTCCTAGTTAAAAGATATACTGGGTTTTCCCCCTTGAGTATATTATCAAATTCTGGCAAACAATAAATAAATAATACAGCTTTTTACTAAAAATGCCACAAAGTAAGCTATTCTCACCCAAAGCGTCCAGCTTAACTAAGGTTTTATTTAAATGTACTTTTCTTTTTATTTTTATACAGGTGATAGAGAACAAAATTTATGAACCTACGTACGGGAGGGACTGATGACAAAAAAAATTGGCAAAAACCCCATTCGCACAGTTTTCAATTATTATTTTTTTTTTTTTAGAGATGGGGTCTCACTGTGTTGCCCAGGCTAGTCTCAAACTTCAGCTCAAGTGATTCTCCTGCCTCTCAGCCTATCAAAGTGCTAGGATTACTGGTATAAGCCACCATGCTTGGCCCCTAATTAGCACTTAAAAAAAAATTTTTTTTTTTTTTGAGACAGAGTCTCAGTCTGTCATCAAGGCTAGAGTGCAGCGGCACAATCTCGGCTCACTGCACCCTCTGCCTCCCAGGTCCAAATGATTCTTGTGCCTTAGCCTCCCAAGTAGCTGGGATTACAAGCATGTGCCACCACACCTGGCTAATTTTTGTATTTTTTTTTTGTAGAGACGGGGTTTCGCCATGTTGGTCAGGCTGGTCTCAAACTCCTGGCCTCAAGGATTAGCACAGTTTTTAATGCCACTTCCTTTCCTCCAGTCTGCTCACTGGCCTCAGAAGTGAGCATGAGTGACCTGTGTGTAGCACAGGGGCTGCCAAACAGCCCCGACTGACACGGGCTCAGAACTTCACCAGCTTAATGAATGAGGCATTCAATCATCGCAACTACTCTATGAGGAAGACACTACCATGACGACCATTTTACAGATGGGGAGACCGAGGCCAGGGTAGTTAAATGACTTGTTCAGGGTCATGCACCTCCTAGTGGCAGAGCTGGAGTCAAACCTAGGCAGCCTGGCTCTTCAACCTGTGCACTGCCTTTCATTAGATGAGTACAAGGGCAGAGTTGAGAGACCTGTAAGGAAGCCATGGTCAACTGTTAACCTCAAATCAAAGTGGCCGTCTAAGGGAAAATCCCAAACTGCATGTGAAATCATGGCAGTGATGCTCTCTCTCTGGCTGGTATAGTCAATAGCTGCCTCGCTCCACTGGGGACTTCTTGGAGGTTCACCTTCCTCCCTTCCCTGCCCTCTAATGGGTAGACATGTGACTGCACGGAACAGCAGCAGCAGGGAGGGCAGAAAGCATAGGCAGAGCTCACACAAGCTGGAAACTGTGTGTTCTTAAAAATGTACTCAGTTATTTTCTCTGGTGTGGAGAGCAGTAAATTATGTGGTTTGGAAGCTACTACTACACTACTATTTCCTGAAAGAGCTTTCTAGCACGGCCTGTCACAGACACAAATTTACAAGTATGCCTCAGTCTCTCTCTGAGAACACAGACGAATACTGAGCTTTATTAGTTGGAAAAATATGCTAAGATTCAACCAGACAAGCGTGTTTTAAAAATTCTATTATTATGGTTAAACTTTTATAAACAAATGTTAGAGTTAATTTAAAAACATTTATATTTGGACATGCAACCATACTCAAGTGCCTTGTAACATATTAAATAGGCCGTTTTAGATCATTATTAATGTTCCAGACAGAAAGCTGCTCATGCTCCCAACAAGTGACAGGTTAGTGTGACCCATCACATACCGTCCATCTGCATCTTCTTTGGCTGCATAGAGGGGGAAGACATAGAAGAAGTCACCCGGAAGTTTGCAGGGAGAGTCTCTGCTGACCCAGCAGCTAAGCCACGAATGTCCTTTGGTCTAAACTTTTTTCTCCATGAAGGTGCTCTCCTAAAGCTTTTATCATCATCCTGGTAAATTAAGGAACAAAAAACAAGATTCATTTAAAAAATAAAGGTCAGAGATGTAAAGTTACATGTCCTTTAAAATGACTGCTGATCTCGAGAATGTATTCTTGTCCACATGTATTTAATCCCTTCTTGATGACCACACAATATATTGCCCAACCTGGAACTTCAGCGTGAAACGGGGCATGGTGATGGTCCGGCTGGGCCTCAGCTGGCGAAATGAGGTCGGTGCTGGGCCATGAGGATGTGCTCCTTCTCCACAGCATCATGTTCTACTTCTTACACCTTGCAGGAATCACTTTCTTGCAACGTAATACGTTTTTATTTATCTTAAAAATAGTTTATTTTTCATTTTTATTTATGTTTTTACAGACAGAGTCTAGATCTGTTGCCCGAGCTGGAATGCAGTGGTGTGATTATAGCTCACTGTAACCTCAAACTCCTGGGCTCAAGCCATCCTCCCACCGCAGCCTCCTAAGTAGCTGGAACTACAGGTGTGCCCCTACCACACGCAGCTCTACAAACAATTTTTAACTAGAAACAATTTTATCTTATGCCAGGATATAGCAACAAGTGCTTCATCTTTAGAGGTGGTCTTCTATTCTCTCTGTCAAACTCAACTTTTCTTAAGGTCCAATTAAGAGACTCCTAATCGTGTGGAACAAATGAGTCATGGTTTTAAGGGGAAATTAACATTTTGTGTTTTTAATATACTTCTGAAACATGCCACCCCACCCATGCACAGGAGTATGGGGGTACACTCTGGACTGGGGTAGGATAACTACTGGTCCCCAAAACCCAACTTACAGACTCTGTTCCTAAGCTGCAACCAATGTTTTATGATGTGAAAACCATTTTTGAGGGATGTCAAAAATTAAATAGCAAAAATAAAAACAAAACTACCTTCTTGAAGGTATTACTTTTGTGGGTTTTTTTTTTGCGGGGAGGGGGTTTCTTTTTGAGATGGAGTTTCTCTCTGTCGCCCAGGCTGGAGGGCAGTGGTGCGATCTCAGCTCACTGCAACCTCCACCTCCCAGGTTTAAGCGATTCTCCAGCCTCAGCCTCCCAAGTAGCTGCGATTATAGGCACCTACCACAACGCCCGGCTAATTTTTGTGTTTTTTAGTAGAGATGGGGTTTCACCATGTTGGCCGGGCTGGTCTTAAACTCCTGACCTCTGGTGATCCGCCCGCCTCAGCCTCCGAAAGTGCTGGGATTACAGGTGCGAGCCGCCGTGCCCGGCCCAGGTATTAGTTTTTAAAGGCTCATTTGTGAATAAATGTATAAGAGCAAAGCCTGACTTCTAACATCCAGAGAGACTGCCTAGCTACATGATGTCCCAAGTATAATAATAATAACAGCTTACATTTCACACACATTTAAACATTTACACACATTTCAGACATTTAAAGAACATTAGGCCAAAAACTTACTTCATCAAACCTTCTATCAGTCCCCATGACCAAAAGGTTGTTAAATTCTCTTTCCAAGACAGCACGAGCCTGAAATAACCAAAGAAAAACAAATAAAACTTTCATCAAATCTAATTTGAAGGGTGTTAGCATCGTAATTGTTTTTTAAACCAAGACTTAAACTCCCTCACTGCTGGCTGGGTCTGGTGGCTCACGCCTGTAATTCCAACACTTTCGGACGCCAAGGCGGACAGACCACCTGAGGTCAGGAGTTCAAGACCAGCCTGGGCAACATGGTAAAACCCCGTCTCTACTAAAAATACAAAAATTAGGGCCTGGGTGTGGTGGCTCATGCCTGTAATCCCAGTACTTTGGGAGGCCGAGACAGGCAGATCACTTGAGATCAGGAGTTTGAGACCAGCTTGGCCAACATGGTGAAATCCCATCTATACTAAAAATACAAAAATAAGCCGGGCACGGTGGCGTGTGCCGGTAATCTCAGCTACTTGGGAGGATGAGGCAGGAAAATCACTTGAACCTGGGAGACAGAGGGTGCAGTGAGCCAAGATTGCACCATTGCACTCCAGCCTGGGCAACAAGAGCGAAACTCCATCTCAAAACAAACAAAAAAACAACTCCCTCACTGCTATGACTACATTGAACCATAATAATATTTTAAATCAGGGCATCTAATGTGGAGTCAATGGATGGGCTTTTGCAGAAAGGGATCCATGATCCTTGGAGTCATATTAACAAGGGTGTGTTGTGTGGGTTGGTCAGGGGTATTGGCCAAAGATATTCAATTTTTTTTTTTTTTTTTCCTTTTTCTTTGGGATGGGGGTCTCACTCTGTCACTCAGGCTGGAGTGCAGTGGCGCAATCAGAGCTCATCACAACCTCCACTTCCCGGGCCAAGCAATCTCCCTGCCTTGGCCTCCCAAGTAGCTGGGACTACAGGCATGTGCCACCACACCTGGCTAATTTTTTTGTATTTTTTTGTAGAGACAGAGCTTCACCATGATGGCCAGGCTGGTCTCGAACTCCTGGACTCAAGCAATCTGCCTACCTGGGCCTCCCAAAGTGTTGGGATTGTGGGCATGAGCCACCTTGCCTGGCATATTCAATGTTCTGTAGAGGAATAAAAGTTCCCTGTTTTTCAAATGAGCCCATGAGTCAAAAAGAATGGCATAAGGCAATTACCCATAAAAACAAAATTAATAAAATCTTCATGTGGCACACCTAAAAACACTTCTCTTTCCATGTAAGAACTAAATATATGTCACTCTTCTGATCAGGCACATGGGCTGGAATGAAAGATCGTCCTTATCTGGTTTATTGCAGGACTCTCATGCTTCCAACAGAAAAGGGAAAGCCAATAGACCAAAAAAAAAAAAAAAAACCAAAAACTAGTTGTCTGAAGTTTTTTTTTTTTTTTTTTTTTAAAGTTTCTTTCTATTCGAATAACTAGCTGTCTATAATCAGGGTGCCAACTGAACAATGAGTGCAGACACAGACAGGTTTGGCGTCACCTGTGTGTTCTGCGTCGGGATCTGTAACAGCAGTGCCAGTGCACTGAAGTCGAAGGTTTCATCTAAGGCCAGAAGTGCTCCGTGAACACCACTCTCTATAAGATTGTTTGCATATTCTTTAAGGCCAATTGACAGGATCCAGCGAATCACTCGATCATTGCTCCAAACAAGCACGTCTGCAAAAGAATAAAGACAATTATAAAAGTGGCTTCAGAAAGCCATCTTTATCACATGTACCCTGTAATGCAGGAGAAAGATTCCTACCATGGTTCCTAATCCTTCGGCTCCTGAGAAAAGTGCTGGGAGACACTGCTAAATAGACAACCATTTGCTGCACTGAGACAATGGTGTCCTGGCCCTGCTCCACTCTCAGGGAGACTCTCCCATTAGAACTCATCCTTCCAGTGAGCACGAGAGGAATGAAGTTATTATTTCTAGAGAAAAGAAGATGATGAGGATCCAGGGATCAGAAGCCAGAGGACTGCAAGAACTTGAATACCTAACATGTATAAACATGCTTCACACACAGACTGGAGAGTCTTCTGAAATACTTCATCACGGATGGAGCTGGCTCCATAATAATATGAACACTTTGCTCAATTCAACAGAAACCTCTCATTTCTAATCTCGAAGTCTTTGTCTCATTTTAAAATGAGAGAAACTTAACAATATCATCCAGCACATTAGAGACTTTGCAGAAAATCTTTTTTTTTCCTCTCTTTTTCTTGACAATGTCCTGCTCTGTCACCCAGGCTGGATACAGCCTGGTACCATCATAGCTCACTGCAGCCTCAACCTCCTGGGCTCAAGTGATTTTTCCCACCTCAGCCTCCTGAGGAGCTGGAACTACAGGCGTGTGTCACGAAGCTCAGCTAATTTTTTTGTACTGACAGGGTCTCACTATGTTCCCCAGGCTGGTCTTGAACTCATGGGCTCAGACAATACTCCTGCCTTGGCCTCCCAAAGTGCTGAGATTACAGGCATGAGCTACCATGCCCAGCCACAATATCTTATGCAAATTAACAAATTATTCAATTTGCTCTATTAGATCTAAAAATAGCCACTCTAAAAATATATGCAGATGATCACCAATCACTTCCAAAGACACTTCCAAAGATCTTTGTCTATTGGAAAAAGATGTAAAATAGATACAGAAAACAAAACAGATGGACATATTTCATTGCCAATGCCCTTTTCTGGATAAAAGTCCATACATATACACACACTGTATAAATGTCGACTTACGACTTTTCTCCTGATTCACATTAACTCAATCACAAGTAGACTTCCCTTCAACTGGGCCATCTCCCAACCATATTTTTATCCTTAGTTTCTTTCTTAGTATAAAGTGGGGATGAAAACAGCACTTAGACTGACAGGGCTAAGGTAAAGATGAAAGAAAGCAACCCCTGAGTACTTAGAACACCACCTGGCACCTACTCACTGTTAGTAAGACTGGCCTCTTCTTATCATTATTGTTATTGGTGACTTCCTTGCATTCCAGGAATTCTGGGAGTCATTACTCTGAGCTTAATGTTTACTGTCTAATTTTAAAAGCAAATTCTGACTGGGTGTGGTGGCTCACACCTGTAATCCCAACACTTTGGAAGGCCAAGGTGGGAGGATCCCCTGAGCCCAAAAGTTCGAGATCAGCCTAGGCAACATAGCGAGACCCTGTCTCTACAAAAAAAAAAAAAATTCCAGGCATGGTGGAGCACACCTGTACTCCCAGGAGCTACTAGGGAGGCTAAGGCAGGAAGAGCACTTGAGCCCAGGAGTTCAAGGCTGTAGTGAGCTGTGATCACACCACTGCACTCCAGCCTAGCCTGGGCTACAGAGCAAGACCCTGTCTCAAAATAAATTAAATAAATAAATAAACAAACAAACAAATAAATTTGAGTACGAGTGAGGGACTCCCCAACGGAGAAGAGAACCAACTCCACGTCTTCTGGATGAATGTCTCACATCCTCTAACGCCTCCCTGGCCTGTGTTTTCCAACTGAAATGCCTTTTCCTTACCCTAAGCAGCTCCTCCTCCTTCTTCAAGGACCAGCTGAAATGCAGACGCTGCCTCTCCTTCCCCTCCGGGAGCAGAACTGCACGGTGCTCTCCTGTTCTCCTGAACCCCTTGGATAAGCCCCCAGTCATATTTCTCACACTTGAATCATCAAGTGAGCTTTGCTCTGTTGTTATCTAACAGTGTGGAACAGCATTTCGGAGTGAAGGAGTACACAGGGCATGACCAAAGGAAAACTCTCAACTCACAGGAAACGACTAGCCGGAGACATTTAACCTCCAGACTGATGTGTGAGAACACAGGGAACAGTTCTCTAGCTGTGGAAGAGAATCTCAAAAGCACTCAACTTCATCCAGCCCTCCTCTGCAATGACACTAGACTAGTTAGTTTTCTCCACTTAAATTTAGCCTTTCTTGATTTTTTGAAAAATAGGAAGTCACTGAGGCTCCAAACACACCAGCAAGTAGGAGTAAACCGAATCAATTAAATGTCATGTACTAACCTTTTATTTCACTCTGACTTTCTTCTCTTTTTCTTTCCAGTTCTTTCCGGTCATAATTTAACCTTCTCAGGCACATAATTCCACACTGGAAACTGTTTCTATTTGGAAGAAAAGAGAGATGATTTAGAGATGGTAACAGTGAAAAATCTTAGCCAATTATTAAGAACTATCTCCATTAAGTTACCTGTGAAAACTGTCGACCATTTTCAGCTGCCCTCGAAGGTCTTTCTTGGTCAAGTGGTCCAGCATCCTGGCGTCTACAAGGCACTCCATGAAGTAGCTGCGGTACTGGGGGAGGCCCAGGCTGGGGAGCCACTCGTTGCCGATCCACTCGTGGTTCATGTCCCCATAGGCGAGTGTCTGCTTTTCATAAATGGAAAAGGTCAGTTACAGAGGAAGTCTCAAAAGTAGTTTATATCATTTTTAAAATGAATTTTTAATCTATTACCTATATTCTCAAAGGCTAAACTAATGATAATTTTATAATTGCAAAATAATTTGATCTCTTCTCACCTTTTAAATTTGTTAGTAAAATTTTTATACAACAGGAATAGTAACATGAAAAATATATGATTCGTTGTGATAAATTTAACTTTTAAATCAAACTACAAAAAAACTGTAACTGGCTATAAATTTCCTCTCTGAGATAGTTTTTAGTATAATAATGTGACAAAGATTGATCACGACTCATGAACAAGTTTGAAGGCTCAATTCAACACTGCTCACTAAAATTATCTCTGGTTGGTTTACATTTTAACACTTTGTTTTCCTAAAGAAAAAATCCATTTCAAAATCAGTAAAAGTCAGTTAAAATATAGTTTTAGAGAAGAGATAAAGCAACAACCAACAGGACTAAATGGGGAAACAGGCAAATTCACAATTATAGTTGAAAAAATTCAACACTTCTTTCTCATAGCAACTGATGAAAGAAGCAAAAAAAGAAAAAAATTAAGAATATAGAAAACCTAAACTAACAACCCTTAACAAACTTGACCTGACGTTTCATAGAACACACCACCCAACAACAGAATATAGAACACTCCACCCAACAATGGAATGTAGAACACGCCACCCAACAACAGAAGATAGAACACGCCACCCAACAAGAGAATACAGAACACGCCACCCAACAAGAGAACATAGAACACGCCACTCAACAACAGAATATAGAACAATCCACCAAACAACAGAATATAGAACACTCTACCCAACAACAGAATATAGAACATGCCACCCAACAACAGAATACAGAACATGCCACCAACAACAGAATATAGAACACGCCACCCAACAACAGAATACAGAACACACCACCCAACAGAATATAAAACACGCCACAAACGACAGAATATAGAACACTCCACAAACAACAGAATATAGAACACGCCACCAACAACAGAATATAGAACATGCCACCCAACAATGGAATATAGAACATGTAACCCAACAACAGAATACAGAACACGCCACCCAACAACAGAAAATATAACATGCCACCCAACAAGAGAATATAGAACAATCTACCCAACGAAAGAATACAGAACACTCCACCCAACAACAGAGGATAGAACACGCCACCCAACAACAGAAGATAGAACACTCCACCCAACAACAGTAGAACACGCCACCAACAACAGAATATAGAACACGCCACCCAACAACAGAATATAGAACATGCCACCCAACAGAATATAGAACACGCCACCCAACAACAGAATATAGAACACGCCACCCAACAACAGAATACAGAACACGCCACCCAACAACAGAATACAGAACGTGCCACCCAACAGAAGATAGAACGCTCCACCCAACAACAGAAGATAGAACGCTCCACCCAACAACAGAAGATAGAACGCTCCACCCAACAACAGAAGATAGAACATGCCACCCAACAGAATACAGAACAATCCATCCACCCAACAACAGAAGATAGAACATGCCATCCAACAACAGAAGATAGAACAATCCACCCAACAACAGAAGATAGAACATGCCATCCAACAACAGAAGATACAACACTCCACCCAACAACAGAATACAGAACAGGCCACCCAACAACAGAATACAGAACACGCCACCCAACAACAGAATATAGAATGCGCCACCCAACAGAAGATAGAACGCTCCACCCAAAAACAGAAGATAGAACATGCCACCCAACAGAATACAGAACAATCCATCCACCCAACAACAGAAGATAGAACACGCCACCCAACAGAATACAGAACAATCCATCCACCCAACAACAGAAGATAGAACACGCCATCCAACAACAGAAGATAGAACAATCCACCCAACAACAGAATATAGAACATGCCACCTAACAACAGAAGACAGAACCCTCCACCCAACAACAGAGGATAGAATGCTCTACCCAACAACAGAGGATAGAACACTCCACCCAACAACAGAAGATAGAATGCTCCACTCAACAACAGAATATAGAACACTTCACCTAACAACGGAAGATAGAACACTCCACCCAACAGAATATACAACAATCCCCCCAGCAACAGAATATAGAACGCGCCACCCAACAAGAGAATATAGAACGCGCCACCCAACAAGAGAATATAGAACACACTACCCAACAACAGAATATAGAACACTACACCAACAACAGAATATACAACACGCCACCCAACAACAGAATATACAACACGCCACCCAACAACAGAATATACAACACGCCACCCAACAACAGCAGAACACTCCACCCAACAGAAGATAGAACACTCCACCCAACAATAGTAGAACACTCCAACCAACAGAATACAGAACACTCCACCAACAACAGAATATAGAACACCCCACCAACAAAAGAATACAGAACACGCCACCCAACAACAGAATATAGAACACTCTACCTAGCAAGAGATTATAGAACACACCACCCAACAACAGAATATACAACACGCCACCCAACAACAGAATATACAACACTCCACCCAACAACAGAATATAGAACACTCCACCAACAAAATATAGAACACGCCACCCAACAACAGAATATAGAACACGCCACCCAACGCCAGAATATAGAACACGCCACCCAACAACAGAATATAGAACACGCCACCCAACAACAGAATATGCAGCACTCCACCCAACAACAGAATATAGAACACGCCACCAACAATGGAATATAGAACAATCCACCCAACAACAGAATACAGAACACACCACCCAACAACAGAATATGCAACACTCCACCCAACAACAGAATATAGAACATGCCACCAACAACAGAATATAGAACACACCACCCAACAACGGAATATACAACACACAATCCAACAACGGAATATAGAACTTGTCACCCAACAAGAGAATATAGAACAATCTACCCAACAACAGAAGATAGAACACTCCACCAACAACAGAATACAGAACATGCCACCCAACAACAGAATACAGAACAAGCCACCCAACAACAGAATACAGAACACGCCACCCAACAACAGAATATAGAATGCGCCACCCAACAGAAGATAGAACGCTCCACCCAAAAACAGAAGATAGAACATGCCACCCAACAGAATACAGAACAATCCATCCACCCAACAACAGAAGATAGAACACGCCACCCAACAGAATACAGAACAATCCATCCACCCAACAACAGAAGATAGAACACGCCATCCAACAACAGAAGATAGAACAATCCACCCAACAACAGAATATAGAACATGCCACCTAACAACAGAAGACAGAACCCTCCACCCAACAACAGAGGATAGAATGCTCTACCCAACAACAGAGGATAGAACACTCCACCCAACAACAGAAGATAGAATGCTCCACTCAACAACAGAATATAGAACACTTCACCTAACAACGGAAGATAGAACACTCCACCCAACAGAATATACAACAATCCCCCCAGCAACAGAATATAGAACGCGCCACCCAACAAGAGAATATAGAACGCGCCACCCAACAAGAGAATATAGAACACACTACCCAACAACAGAATATAGAACACTACACCAACAACAGAATATACAACACGCCACCCAACAACAGAATATACAACACGCCACCCAACAACAGAATATACAACACGCCACCCAACAACAGCAGAACACTCCACCCAACAGAAGATAGAACACTCCACCCAACAATAGTAGAACACTCCAACCAACAGAATACAGAACACTCCACCAACAACAGAATATAGAACACCCCACCAACAACAGAATACAGAACACGCCACCCAACAACAGAATATAGAACACTCTACCTAGCAAGAGATTATAGAACACACCACCCAACAACAGAATATACAACACGCCACCCAACAACAGAATATACAACACTCCACCCAACAACAGAATATAGAACACTCCACCAACAAAATATAGAACACGCCACCCAACAACAGAATATAGAACACGCCACCCAACGCCAGAATATAGAACACGCCACCCAACAACAGAATATAGAACACGCCACCCAACAACAGAATATGCAGCACTCCACCCAACAACAGAATATAGAACACGCCACCAACAATGGAATATAGAACAATCCACCCAACAACAGAATACAGAACACACCACCCAACAACAGAATATGCAACACTCCACCCAACAACAGAATATAGAACATGCCACCAACAACAGAATATAGAACACACCACCCAACAACGGAATATACAACACACAATCCAACAACGGAATATAGAACTTGTCACCCAACAAGAGAATATAGAACAATCTACCCAACAACAGAAGATAGAACACTCCACCAACAACAGAATACAGAACATGCCACCCAACAACAGAATACAGAACAAGCCACCCAACAACAGAATATAGAACAATCCACCCAACAACAGAAGATAGAACACGCCACGCAACAACAGAAGATAGAACATGCCACCCAACAACAGAATATAGAACACGCCACCCAACAACAGAAGATAGAACAATCCACCCAACAACAGAATATACAACACGCCACCCAACAACAGAATATAGAACAATCCACCCAACAACAGAATATAGAACACACCACCCAACAACAGAATATACAACACGCCACTCAACAACAGAATATAAAACACGCCACCGAACAAGAGAATATACAACAATCCACCCAACAACAGAATATACAACATTCCACACAACAGAATACAGAACACTCCACCCAACAACAGAAGATAGACCACTCCACCCAACAACAGAAGATAGGACACGCCACCCAACAACAGAATACAGAACACGCCACCCAACAACAGAATACAGAACATGCCGCGCAACAACAGAAGATAGAACACGCCACCCAACAACAGAAGATAGAACATGCCACCCAACAACAGAATACAGAACACGCCACCCAACAACAGAAGACAGAA
Organism: Homo sapiens; assembly: GCF_000001405.40. NCBI lineage: Eukaryota > Metazoa > Chordata > Mammalia > Primates > Hominidae > Homo > Homo sapiens. The sequence continues at coordinate 128,500 of NW_021160005.1, read as the reverse complement.
CACGCCACCCAACAACAGAAGATAGAACATGCCACCCAACAACAGAATATAGAACATGCCACCCAACAACAGAATACAGAACAATCCACCCAATAATGGAAGATAGAACATGCCATCCAACAACGGAATATAGAACATCCACCCAACAACACAATATAGAACACTACACCAACAACGGAATATAGAACAATCCACCCAACAACAGAATATAGAACATGCCACCCAACAACAGAATGTAGAACACTCCACCAACAACAGAATATAGAACACCACACCAACAACAGAATATAGAACAATCCACCCAACAACAGAATATAGAACAATCCACCCAACAACGGAATATAGAACAATCCACCCAACAACGGAATATAGAACACGCCACCCAACAACAGAATATAGAACACTGCACCAACAACAGAATATAGAACACTGCACCAACAACAGAATATAGAACACTACACCAACAACAGAATATAGAACACTACACCAACAACGGAATACAGAACAATCCACCCAACAACAGAATATAGAACAATCCACCCAACAACGGAATATAGAACACGCCACCCAACAACAGAATATAGAACACGCCACCCAACAACAGAATATAGAACACTACACCAACAACAGAATATAGAACAATCCACCCAAAAACAGAATATAGAACAATCCACCCAACAACGGAATTTAGAACACGCCACCCAACAACAGAATATACAACACGCCACCCAACAACAGAAGATAGAACAATCCACCCAACAACAGAATATAGAACACGCCACCCAACAACAGAAGATAGAACAATCCACCCAACAACAGAATATAGAACACGCCATCAACAAAATATAGAACACGCCACCCAACAACAGAATATACAACACGCTACCTAACAACAGAATATAAAACACACCACCCAACAACAGAATATAGAACAATCCACCCAACAACAGAATAGACAACATTCCACCCAACAACAGAATATAGAACACTCCACCCAACAACAGAAGATAGAACAATCCACCCAACACCAGAATATACAATCCACCCAAAAACAGAATATAGAACACGCCACCCAACAACAGAAGATAGAACACGCCACCCAACAACAGAAGACAGAGCACGCTACCCAACAACAGAATATAGAACACACCACCCAACAACAGAATATACAACAATCCACCCAACAACAGAATATAGAACAATCCACCCAAGAGAATATAGAACATGCCACCCAACAACAGAATATAGAACATGCCACCCAACAACAGAATATAGAACACGCCACCAAACAACAGAATATAGAACACTCTACCCAACAACAGAATATAGAACATGCCACCCAACAACAGAATATATATGCTTTTAATGTCTGTATAGTATATTCTCAAAGACAGACAAATCTCAACATACTTAAAGAGACTGAAATCAAGGTACATTCTCTTGACTTCAACAGAAATTAGAAATCAATAATAAAAAGCTATCTAGAACCCCCTACTAAATATTTAAAAATTAGCATACTTCTAAATAATTCACAGCAAGAAATTACAAGGGGAAATTGCTCCCTCTGTCGCCCAGGCTGGAGTGCAGTAGCGCGACCTCGGATCACTGCAACCTCGCCTCCAGGGTTCAAGTCATTCTCCGGCCTCAGCCTCCCGAGTATCTGGGATTACAAGCACAAGCCACCACACCTGACTAATTTTTGTATTTTTAGTACAGACGGGGTTTCAACATGTTGGGCAGACTGGTCTCAAACTCCTGACCTCAAGTGATCCACCACCCACCTTGGCCTCCCAAACCGCTAGGATTACAGGCGTGAGCCACTGCTGCCCCACCAGAAAATATTTTTAATTTAAAGAAAATTTTTAAAAAATTCAAAAATTGTGGGAAACAGTTAAAACAATACCGTGAGAGCAAAAATCACGACAAAGGATTATCAATGAGAAAGACCTCGAAAATCAGTGATCCAAGAGTCTGCTTTTAAAAACTTAAACTAGCCTGGTGCAGTGGCTCACACCTGTAATCCTAGCACTCTGGGAGGCCGAGGCAGGCGGATCACCTTTGGTCAGGAGTTCCGACACCAGCCTCGCCAACATAGTGAAATCCCATCTCTACTAAAGATACAAAAATTAGCTGGGCATGGTGGTACATGCCTGCAGTTCCAGCTACTCAGGAGGCTGAGGCAGGAGAATGGCTTGAACCCAGGAGGTGGAGGTTGCAGTGAGCCAAGATCATGCCACTGCACTCCAGCCTGGGAGATAGAGCGAGACTCTGTCTCAAAATTAAAAAAAATTAAAACTTAAACTAGAAGAACGAATGAAATCCACGGCAAGCAGAAGGAACAAGGTAAAAAAGCAGAAATCAATGAAACAGAAAACAGAAAAATAACAGCAAATAAACCAGTGAAATGAAAATCTAGTACTTCATAAATATCAATCAAATTAACAAACCCTAGCCGGACTAGATAAGACAAAACAGAAGATATAAATCACCACTATCAAGAATGAAAGAGGGGACCAGCCTGGCCAACATGGCGAAACCTCTTCTCTACTAAAAGTACAAAAATTAGCTAGGCATGGTGGCACATGCCTGTAATCCCAGCTACTTGGGAGGCTGAGGCATGAAAATTGCTTGAACCAGGAGGCGGAGGTGCAGTGAGCTGAGATTGAGCCACTGCACTCCAGCCTGGGCAGCAGAGCGAGGCCCCATCTCAAAAAAAGAAAAAAAAAAAAAGAGTAAAAGAGGGCAGCCAGGCATGGTGGCCATGTCGGTAACTTCAGCTACTCAGGAGGCTGAAGCAGGAGGATGGCTTGAGTCCAGGTGTCTGAGACCAGCCTGGGCAACACAGCGAGACCTTGTCTCAAAAACAAACACAAAATGACAACAAAGAGGGGACATCAATATAGATTCAATAGACATTGAAAGAATAAGGGAATACTGTGAACAATTTTAAGCAACTTAGATGAAATGGACAAATTTCTTAAAAGATAAACTACCAAAGCTTCTCAGAAACAGGTAACACGTATCTCTATTAGAACCTGAAGTTGTAATCATAAATCTTCTAACATACAAAAAAGAAAATCTCTACCCAAGATAGCTTCACTGGTGAATTCTACCAAACATTTATCAACATAAATAAATAAATAAATAACCACGATTCTACACGAAGTGTTCCAAAAAAGTTTGAAACACCTTATCTCATTCTATGAGGCCAGCATCATCCTGAGAGCAAAACCAAAGATGTAACAAAACTATAGATCAGTAGCCCTCAGGCAGATCCAAAAATATGTAACAAAATATTGCCAAGTCAACAACATATTAAAACAATAAGATATCATGACAAGTATGGCTTATTATTCTAGAAACATAAGTTGATTCAACATTTGAAAAGAAAAATCAATGAAACTCACCATATGAAGAGATTGAAAAAAAACCATATCATCTCAAAAGATGCAGAAAAAGCATTTGACAAGATTTGTCATCATTTATGGAACTCCAAGCATTCCGGAAATGTAAGAAAAGTGCCTCAACTGGATAAAAGGCATTTACAAAAACCCTACAGTGAACATCATACTTAATGTAAAAGACTGCTCAGCTGGGCATGGTGGCTCATGCCTATAATCCCAGCACTATGGGAGGCAGAGGTGGGCGGGTCACTTGAGGTCAGGAGTTTGAGAACAGCCTGGGCAACATGGTGAGACCCTGTCTCTTTAAAAAAAAAAAAAAAAAAGACTGACTGTGTTTCTCCTAAGATAAGGAACAAACGAAGGATGTCCACTCTCACCACTTTATTCTACACTGTACTGGAAATCCCAGTCACTGTAAGAGGTCAAGAAAGAGAAATAAAAAGCACATAAATTGCAAAAGAAATAAAATTGTCTTTATTTGAAGATGACAAAATTATCAGTGTAGAAAAGGAATCTACAAAATAGCTATCAGAATAAGTGGGTTTAAGCAAAGTTGCAGGATGCAAGGCCAATTTATAAAAATGAACTATATTTCTAAATACTAGCAATGAACTGAAAATTGAAATTTAAAAAGTATCATTTACAGTGGCATCAAAACCTGCAAAATCCTCAGGGATAAATCTAACAGAATGCATGCAAAATGTGTACAATGAAAAAGAACTAACACATTCTATACACACACATATCGAAGGAAGGTACCCGAGGTACCTGAAGTCTGCAGCTGAGGAAGACTAAGTTATGGTCACCAGTCATAGCTACCTTATGGTATCTTTGTAGTGACTCTCAACTAACACCATGTTGGTCTTGAAACTATGGCTTCCAGTATCATTTGTTATTTGGTCCAAACTAGAAGCAATAACTCAAATTCTAAATTTAAGTTAAGCAATAACTCAAATTCTCTAATTTAAACAAAGAATGTTTAAATTCTACTAGAAAAAAATGCTTCACTACCTTCTCTAAAAAGAGAGAAATATGCCAAACATTTTTGGGTAATTATCAGCTATCTAACAGCATCACCATGCTTGATTCACTCTTCTAAACCTTACCCTTACAGGCCTGATATTTATTTATTTATTTAGAGACAGGGTCTCGCTCTGTCACCCAGGCTGGAGTGTAGTGGCATGATCTCGGCTCACTGTAACGTCCACTTTCCGGGCTCAAGCGATTTTCCAGCCTAAGCCTCCCAAACAGCTGGGACTACAGTCTCAAGCCAACAATACCTGGCTAATTTTTATATTTTTTGTAGAGACAGGGTTTCCCCACGTTGCCCAGGCTGGTCTTGAACTCCTGGGCTGAAAGCGATCCACCTGCCTCAGCCTCCCAAAGTGCTGGGATTACAGGTGTGAGCCACTACACCTGGCCTAGGCCTGATACATGTAGCAGGGATATCTGGTATTATTCTCTTGCTTGCTGATTATGTATTCTTAAATGGGGAAATTAAACAAAGGAATTGTCTAAATAGAAAACTGCATGGAAGCAGAACCCTACTTGTTTCTGTTTCCTCATTATATGCTCTGCTCAGACTCCTGAAGTGGCCTATAACATGAACTCCCAGAAGGATCAGGCTCCATCCCAGGGAGACCCACCTCTTCTCCTGGGCTGCCTTAGCAGCCTTCTGGAAAAAAAACATACCAGGTGATGTCAGTCCAGAGAACATCTGAACTAGAAGAGACACCCACTGCACAGTGTTTACTCCCAGCACTGAAACAGCCACAAGTACAACCCAGTCTTATGAACTCCATAAAATGGGAGCTCCATGACGGGGGGACCATGGGTGTCCTGCTCATAGATGCTCCACGCAGCCAGCACTCTTACTAATTTTGTTAAATGAGGTATAAATGGTTTTGACCACGCCTTGATGTCTTCCTCCCCTAGTCTCTCGGCGCAGCTCAAAGTTCTCCCTGGTTTAAGAGCTGGCCACTGTGTACTGCCCTTGGCAGCAGGTGGCAGTCCCATCTGGAAGACAGGAAGGAGGGAAAAGTGATACGAGCTTCCACTAGACTGCATGTCGGCTAGTTCTGGAGTCATCACCACAGCTCAGTCTTGTTTATATTTCCACCGCAAAGAGCAAGGTTAAGCTTATTTAATTTACACTTCCTGTCCCTGACTCAGGCAATTTCATACTGAAGTATTAACCAAATTCTGCTCCTTGGTGGAAAATATACTGAAATTTAAGTAATTATGAAATGTACCCTGTATAATTCATTTATGGTCATTATTGGTCCTATAAAGGGATATCTAACAAGTTAAACAATGAGGTTATTTATCTGGAGGAGAGGCACAGAATGCTTAAATCAAGAGAGAAAAAAGCCCACAGAATCACATTATAGCTACTCTATTTTGTTAAAAAATACAAATAAAAAATAAAAATAAAAAAAGGTGGGGGGACAGTCTAATGAGCTAGATTTTAGGAGTACCAAGAGAAGGAAACAGCTGCTTCAACCATCACCTCGTAATCAGGAAAATTATGATTTAAAATCCTTTTGATTCTTTTCAGATATATAATGATTATTCTGAAGCCCTCAAATACAGTCCATTCGGGAAAGCCTCTAGAACTGCCTGTCCACGCCTCATGGCTGCAATGTGCCACTGAGACATACACCCTGACCACAGAAGGCCAGTGGCGTCGCACGACATTTCGGCAAGCTGTCTGAACATACAGAATGCAAAACAGTTGGGATAGAGTTTTTGGTGAGTTAAAGAATTGAGAAGCTGAAAATTCAAATATACAGTACTCAAGAAGAGGCTTAATTCCTTAGGATTCCATTAGTAAGAAAATCTTTAAGTGGACATAGTATTAGGATAGTATTTAGTAAAAAATCAACACAAAGGCACAGAGGAAAAGTCATTATGCCAATTTTTGTGTTTGGAAATTTATTAGAGCACAATTTCCCTATCAGTATATCTTGTAATAACATTACCCTACCAGGAAATTACATACATAATCTCAGAAGCTGCCTAAGCCACAAGACTTTGTATACAAGATCATATGTTAAACAAAGCAATCTATATTAATTAAAAATAACTGCCATGGCACCATATGAGAAATGTTCAAAATTGTCCATGAGACGTACTCTTTGATGCTATGTTTTGCTTGACCAGTGCTTTCAAATCATTAACAATCCTGTACTCCGAATAAACTAAGATGCTATAAACATCAAAAAAAGTAGATTACACAAGTTTTCATACTCCAATTGCTTTTTGCTGCTGTACATGTAGTGAAGAATATATTAGAGAAAGACTCCAACCTGAGCCCAGCTTCCCTCCTCATCTTCCTGGGGTTACGTGGTTAGGAATGCAAAAGAACATAACTATTAGTATTGGTGAGCTCGGTAATGCAGGCAACGCAACTCTGCAGGGAAGATGCAGCTTCACTGAGTGAAAAAGTTCAGACTATCAAAGCATCATGCAAAACTCATGCAAAACCAACAATTTCAACTTCTCATGCAAGGAGCAGACTCTCTCCGTGCCAAGCATATTCATGGAAGGAGAAAGGGCCACACAGTCAGTCACATGGAGGCTCAACTGAGATCTCTCCAAAAGGAGAGCTAGATTAAAGCTATTCTAAAAGACAGAGTCTACCAACTTGAAGTTCCTGGAAAAAATCTAAAATAAAATACAAATTCTACTTACACATTTCAACTAATAACTAAAGGAAATACTTATCTGGAACGACTGAATGGAAAACAACATTTTGTTTTCAACAAAAAGGCAAAGAACCCAGACGGTCTTAAGTGGAAAACGCGCTGGGAGGAGTGCAGGCTGTGGGGCGTGACTAACCGTTTGCGGCGTGGCTGCGAGCGTTTCCATCTCTTCGTGTGTTAACCAGACATTTCCTGTGGTCTAAGGTGACCCCAGTGCACCAACCACATCCAGGGCAAGGGAAGCAGTGACAAAGAGGAGAGGGGCACACGCATAAGCCACAGGCACAGAGAAGGGGCCGAGGAGGCAAAGTTCGCTCTTCTCACTTTTCAGTTCAGATGCCCGTACAGAATAACCATTCCCTGTTAACACTGGGTCGTCAACACCATCAGGAGAAGAGCACACGATGACGAGAGCTTTAGATGCCATGCTTACCCGAGGTATGTGAAATATCAAGAGAAGAAAACACGTTGTGTACTTCTGGAAACTTTGAGTAATTCTCAAGTAACTATTGATTCAATATATTTAAAGCAGATTAACAACAAAGAACCCAGCATGAAACTCTTGCTTTGGCTATTGGAGGGCTTTCTCGCAGATGTTCCGTGACGGCCTGAAAGGCTGAAGGCAGGCCACAGGGCAGAGGGGGTCACTGCTAAGCAGTGTCGATGGCTCTGTGCAGCCATCAGAACCAGACACGAGACAGACAGTGGCCTGTGTGTCTACTTGAGGGAGATTTTTTCCTTGCATTTTGACATGGTGTGAAGAGTCTGCCTTATGTGAGGTGTTCTCCATCATTACTGAAGACAGTGGATAAACATGGGAGAAACCACTCAGCACCTTCATTTTCAGCAAGGCCACTGTCATGTGAAACAACCAGGGAAGAGCTCAGACACTGCTCCTGAGGCAGGCTGTGGGAAAGGAGCTCTTGGAGCAACAGGGGAGGACAAAGCTTATTGTTCATCACCATAATTTGTTCATTAAGAAGAAAAAAATAAATAAAACAAGTAAAACCCCTCAAAACTTTTTTTGTAAGGTAACTGGGAGCCCTAAATCCAGCGCTGACGTGCTCCTTGGAGAAATGTGTGAGGCTCTTCATTGCAACAAGAATTTGTTTTCTCCTGAGGAGACTAAAAGCAGAGACTGGGAATCCAGCCAGTGTAAAAAGTCTCAACTTTATAAATCTGGAGTTGGCCTGCCCTTATCTCCCAATAACCATTCTTGTTTTTATTAACATAGTTCTTCTTTTTCAAGTAGGATAACCCTTCTTAAGGACTTTGAGGGACTTCCCACATGGAGAGAAACTGTATAAGTACAGCTCATGTTGGATGAACATTTGCAGATTTGTGAACTGCTTGAAATCCTGAGCTCCCAGGGTCTTTAGCTCCCCAAATGGAAAACACCTACAGGCCAAATAAATCAAATACAGTAAAACACTGGTTACAAGGCAACCAGTGATCTCATCTTTATTTTCCCCTTTAGTTTTTATTTTAAAAAATGTCCGCAAACTGGAATGATGGGGAAGGGAGGATTAGAATTCTTTAGGGACCTTTTCCAAGCATGGCTGTGCATGCCTGTAGTCACAGCTACTTGGGAGTCTGAGGCAGGAGGATCGCTTGAGCCCAGGAGTTCCAGACCAGCCTAGGCAACAAAGTGAGACCCATCTCTACAAAAAATACAAAAATTCCTTAGGGATCAGTTTTGACGGTGGGATAACAAGTATCTCTTACTAGTATGTCACCTATATTTCAATGGATGCTTCTGGCTGGGCATGGTGGCTCACACCTGTAATTTCAGCACTCAGGGACTCTGAGGCAGGAGGACTACTGGAGGCCAGGAGTTCCAGACCAGCCTGGTCAACACAGCAAGACCCTGTCTCTAAGAAGTTTTTAGAAATTAGCTGGGTGTGGTGGTGCACACCTGTAGTCCCAACTACTTGGGAGGCTGAGGTGGGAGGATCGCTTGAGCCCAAGAGGTTGAGGCTGCAGTGAGCTACGATTGAGCCACTGCACTCCAGCCTGGGTGACAGAGTAAGACCTTGCCTCCAAAAAATAAAAAACTTAAATAAATAAATAAATGGGTGCTTCTAAGAAGCCTGGAAGAGCCAGTCCTCTGAACTAGACAGAAAAATTTTACTCAAGATGCTACTTACACATGGAATGATACGGATGAATTCACAGACATAACATTAAGTGAAAGAAGCCAGACACAAGAGAGTGAATACTACATGATCTTGTTTATACACATGAAGAACGAAACTAACAGAGCAGTCTATGGCACCAGGAGCCAGGCACTCATCCCTAGGGAAGGGGCAGTGCCTCAGAAGGAGCAGGAGGCCTCCAGAGCCCTGGTCAGATCCCATTTTTCAATGTAGGTGTGGACCACACAGGGGATGCTGACTTTACAGATTCATTTAACTGTTCACTCATACGTGCATTTCTCTATATGTATATTATATTCCAGTAACATTTAAAAATACACTATAATTGGCTTAGCAAATATCTTTATATATAGTACAAATGTTAATTACTCAGTTTGAATCATGAAAACTGAAAAATGAAATTCAAAACATTTAATTATAAAATGTGTCCTTAAAATATTAACTTTTTCCTTCAAGAGGCCCTTAGACTGATTCAATTTTGATAAACTCAGCTGGGTGTGGTGGCTCACGCCTGTAATCCCAGCACATTGGAAGGCTGAGGTGGGAGGACTGCTTGGAGCCCAGGAGTGCAAGACCAGCCTGGGCAACACAGCGAGACCCCCATCTCTACCAATTTTTTTTGGTATTTTCGTATTTCATATTTCCATATTTAAATTTGTAATTGCTTTTCTATGTTTAAAAAAGCTCATATTTTTATACTATGAAGCCATTCTAGCCAATCTTTCATAAAAGCATTTAATAAAGTTTCTTTTGACCATCCAATTCCCCAAAATTAAAAGTTCTAATGTATGTGATGCTAAAATTTTGAATTAGAACTATACTTCATATGCTGTTAAGGAACTGGAGAAGCAATGTAAACAGGGCAGTGATACCTTCAGAGAGGCATTCCCTGTTTCCAAAGAATGCAGGGGTTGTCTCTGAACGTACCGTTCTAGATGTGGGCGGGGCAGACGGGCTGGTCAGCGACATGATCTCCTGGATGGCCAGCCTCAGCTTCAGCCTGTGCAGGGGGTTGCTGATGCCAATCTCACGCTGGATCTCTGTGTCGGACAGGGCCGACATGATGGCCCCGCTTTTCACGTTTGCTCGGCAGGCAGCCACATACCAGGCTGGCATCCCAACCCAGAGCTGGAGGCGGAAAGCGGAAGGAAGGCAGCACAGTGAGGTACAGTCTACAAAGTAGAACAGTAAGTTCACATACTGTAACCCACGCAACTGCATGTTAAATGAAGGATGTACCTCTAGCCAGACCACAACCGTTGGCCCGTCCCATTGGGCAAAAGGTAAACCTTGTCTCCGGGCTTCCTCCAGCAATTCATGCCTATAAAGGAGAAGATATTGAAAATTAAAGAATCAGCCAGGCATGGTAGCTCACACCTGTAATCCCAGCTCTCTGGGAGGCCAAGGCAGGAGGACCACTTGAGCCCAGGAGTTCAAGACCAGCCTAGACAACACAGCGAGACCCCAACTCTACAAAAAATTTTAAAAATTTGCAAGGTGTAGTGACACACCCCTGTAGTCCCAGCTACTCGGGAGACTGAGGCAGGAAGACTGCTTGAGGCCAGTAGTTCAAGAGCAGCCTGGGCAATATAATGAGATGCATCTCTACAAAAATTAAAAAAAAAAAAAAAAATCAGCCAGGTATGGTGACGCATGCCTGTAGTCTCAGCTACTTGGGAGGCTGAGGTGGAAGGATTGCCTGAGCCCAGGAGGTCAAGGCTACAGTAGGCCATGACTGTGCCACTGCACTCCAGCCTAGGCAACAGAGTGAGACCCTATCTCTAAAAAAAAAAAAAAATTACAACCAGCAAAAACAAAATCAAGGAACCACTATTATACACATATATAAAATTAGTTAACGAAGTGTTCTGAGCATTTGCAAAAGTCTAGCAGTATACAGTCTGCCCTCTGTATCTGCGGCTTCCACATCCACACAGTCAACCAACTGCAGATCAAAAATATTCAGTGGGAAAAAACAAAAAAAACCAATACAGTACAACAGCTATTTACATAGCACTTACATTCCGTTGGGTATTGTAAAGAACCTAGAGATGATTTGAAGTCTACAGGAGATTATGCCTACGTGATACGGAAATACCATGCCATTTCATACAGGAGACTTAAGCTTCCATGGATTTTGGTATTCAGGAGGGGTCCTGGAACCAATCCCCCATAGACTCTGAGAGACGACTATACATGCTCATCATTTTCCTTTCATCTTCTACAGCTTTAACAGTATCAACACCATCCATTTCACACTAGTTCTGTGCATACTACAAAGAATGCCTGAGTGAGAAAATACTGAATGACTCCCTCTGACTCTCTACAGAATCCCCGTCTCCTTACAGAATCAGAGGTTAACATAATGCTCTCTAACATAGGTATTTCAGAAATAACACTATAAGCTTGGTGAATCTCATCTTATTTCTCAAGTGTTTACCTACAAGGCTTTCAAAGAGGCTAATTGTTTTAAAAAATAAAAAGTCTCAGAGAGAAGGTGTCATTGTAATGGAGAGGACACATACATTTGGTTTGCAAGTACAGATATCCCCAAGTCATTCAAACATCCCTAGGCTGCTTTTAGTCCATTTTTTCTATAATAATTTCATAAGACATATACCATAGAATCTCTTATTTTTAAAAATTTGATATTGGCTCTTCAATACATTTCAATAGCAGCAGACTTTTCTTAGGAGTATGAAGTGGTATCGCAAGATGCGAAATGAAGAGGTTGGGAGGAAGGGCGCGCTGCATGGCGCCAATCACCAGGTGGTGGCTGAAACCCTGCCTTCCGTTCCCTTGGGACAAATGCCACTCAAAGACAGCCAGTAGAGCTTCCTTCACACACCAGTGGGTCTAGGAAGTAGTACAGGTAATTCCTGCCACATCAATCCCAGAAAAAGCTCTGAACGCTAACAATCTGGTTAACTGCTAAGGCTTTGAGCGTCCGGGGCCTGGCCAAGGCGCAGGGAGGATCTGACTGCTGCCAAGTCAGGAGGGTTCCCAACTTACGCTCAGCCTTGGCACTCTGCCAGAGACTTCGTTTTTTAACATGTAATAGATACTCACTGTAAATAAAAATAATTGTCAAAAAATAATTCTTTACTTCTATTACTTGGAGACTGGTGTACACTGTCCTAGACTTCACCAGTACCCTCTTCCTGGCAATGATCACTAGCTTTTATAAAAAGTCTTTTCCAGAATGGAGATGCTTCTGGGTCCAGAGGCAACAGTGGAAACAGTGTTAAGACAGTGGAGGTAGACGGATGTGTCTAAGAGTCACAGGAAGTTAGGGAGAAGGCAGAGGAGACCCCATCTGGGTGGCGGGCCCAGGCCTCGGTGTGTGTCCTGGCTCCCCTCCCCTATCAGACCAGTCCATGATCTGTAAGACCAAACATGGGACCATGCCCCTGGGCTGGCACTCCAGGTGGGAACACCAGAGCCCCTGTTTTCTCTGGGGGGACTGTTCCAATCACGGGAAGAAGGCCCCTGTGTCGAGGGGATGCAGAGTCCAGAGCCTGGAGATGGCTGAAGCCACTCCACCCTGGCCCTCTGGGCCGTTCATTTACATGAACAACTACATTCCTCCTTTATTGCTTGATCTCAGACTTGGCTCTTTCACTTGCTACTGAGAATGCTATAATGCAAAAAGGTCATATAATTTGTGAATAATGTTGTGCATTTTATAATTAAGACATAGCATAACGGTAAAGTTGTCTTTCATAATGAGAAGCTTGTGTGAGTTTTTGCTGATCAAACAGTATGTAAGGGATGGGAGGAAGTACTTTCTCTCAACTATCGAAACTAAATATATTGCCTTACTTTCTTAAGACTGAAGCTTTTCAATCCTCTGGCACCCTGCATAGAGTGAACAAGACTTGCTTTCACAGGTACAGTTGCTACCTGGGTGACAGAGCAGGACCCTCTCCAAAACCCATAAAAAAACACCACCACCACAAGTACAGTTCTGTGACCCAGGCATAGCCCCTCCCATGCTCCATTGCCATGGCACACTGGCAGAGTCCTGAGGAAAGATGTAGGGTCGCCCTGATGAGAAATGGATGGAGTCAGCATTTCTCATGCAAAACTAAAAAGATCCTTGGGCCAGGTGTGGTGGCTCATGCCTGTAATCCCAACACTTTGAGAGGCAGAGGCAGGAAGATCACTTGAGGCCAGGAGTTCAAGACCAGCCTGGTCAACATATTGAGACCTCTGTCTCTACTAAAAATAAAGGTCAAGGCTGCAGTGAGTGGTGAACGCGCCACTGCACTTCAGCCTGGGCAACGGTGCAAGGGCCTTCTTTTATTTTGCAAGGGCAAAAATAAAAAAATAAAAAGATCCTCTCAGGAAGCTCAGCATAGAGCCTGTGGCTGGTGACTGCCCACACTCAGCCCAGCAAATCTCCCGAGTCTGCTTACCCTGAGAAAGCACTACGAAGACAAAAAGGAGAACATGAAAAGGGAACACTTTAAAAGCAAGGTTACTTCAAGAGATGGTGTTTCAAGAACGCTGGGGAATTCTAAAAGTGCTGTGGAGGCACTATGCGCTATCAAAGCTGACGAATGGCTCTAGGACAGCCAGCCCCGACTTGCGGGTTCATTACTACGTATCCCAGGCACCAAACGCGCCCACCATGCTGTGTCTTACAAAACTTGAAATCAGCTTGCCACCAAACTCACCAGATTCCTTAAGTTCTCTGTAAGTGAAAGCATCTGGCTGTGTAAATTTTGCAGTTAAAACACACCTTTGAGTTAAATCAGGGGTTAATAAGAAGAAAATAATTCTGAGAAATATACGTTCGTTCTTAAGATGGCATAAATATTAAACTGTATTCACACAATACTTTTTCTGGAAAACGCAAACTTTTTTTCACATTTATATGTAGACATTTTAGGCCAGGCGTGGTGGCTCACGCCTGTAATCCCAACACTTTGGGAGGCCGAGGTGGACAGATCGCTTCAGGTCAGGAATTCGAAACAAGCCTGGCCAACATGGTGAAACCCCATCTCTACTAAAAATTCAAAAAAATTAGCTGGGCACGGTGGCACACGCTTGTAATTCCAGCTGCTGGGAGGCTGAGGCAGGAGAATCACTTGAACCCAGGAGGCGGAAGTTGCAGTGAGCCAGGATCGTGCCATTGCACTCCAGCCTGGGCGACAGAGTGAGGGACTTCGTCTCAATCAATCAATCAATAAATAAAGCACTTTTTCTAAAATCAGTTTTATCTCAGTTTAAGTGAAAGAAACGAAACTGCCCTCTATAGTCAGACAAATAATCTTTGTACTTGGAAATTTTCCCCACTAAGGAGCTGGTACATTTCAGAACTTCCACATGGATCCCAAGCACAACATAAAGGACAGAGAAGTTTTATTTCACTTCCTCATACTTACTATCATAAAAACAGTAACATTAGCAAAATCTAAGGAATGAAATTTTCCTAGCATGTTTCCAGGAGGCAGAAAGTTTAGCTCTAACATTAAGTTTCACAGGGCCAAATGGCAATTACCCAAGTTATTTGAAAACATTCTTGGCTGGGCGCGGTGGCTCACGCCTGTAATCCCAGCACTTTGGGAGGCTGAGGCGGGCAGATCACGAGGTCAGGAGATCAAGACCATCCTGGCTAACATGGTGAAACCCCGTCTCTACTAAAAATACAAAAAATTAGCCGGGTGTGGTGGCGGGCGCCTGTAAGTCCCAGCTACTCGGGAAGCTGAGGCAGGAGAATGGTGTGAACCCAGGAGGCAGAGCTTGCAGTGAACTGAGATTGCGCCACTGCACTCCAGCGTGGGTGACAGAGCGAGACTCCATCTCAAAAAAAAAAAAAAAAATTCTTACACAGTTCAAGCATAGCAATGTTCAAATCAGATTTTGCTGTTACGTGGTTTCTATAAATTTCCATTTACAGGGAACCAAAAAACTGAGTATTCCTATGGTACTGTTAACATAAAAGCATTTTACCTAAAATATAATCAATACAGCATTTATAAAGGCTTTGAAAAGAAAACTAAAATGAGATAGATTTCACAACAGAAAAAAATCAGCTGGCAACTCTAGGGGCTAAAGGCAAAGGGGCCTCTAGGGGAGAGGGTCCCCATAGGCTCTGGTGCATCTTTGGGCCCCAATTTCCAGATGAGCACTGGTTTCTCAGGGCACTTAAAAGTGGCCAGATGATTTTTCCCACAGTCACAGTCATCATACAGCCCGTCAAGTTTCACCCTGTAAGCCTGGCATTACCATCTTCCACATTGCTCAAGCTCAGCCCTTATCCCATGGACTACACAAACTGCCTATTTTATTGCAGAACTGGGTTTAGTTTTGTTCTACATTTGTTGGCTCACTTGGGCACTGTCTCAGCCTATCTACTTCATCTACAGTCAGCCAACACGCAACTCACCCCGCATCCCAGAAGGCCCAGGGACAGAAACCCGATTCCTCCACGTCCTCACCCTGGGGCATCACAATGCCTGTTCTCCTTTGTTCAAAGCCATCCCAAATATTAGAGCTTATTGTCAGAAGCAGACTTAGTTTAGAATTAAAGCTGAATAAACGGGCTATAAAATCAGGAGTCTATTTGAGATAAAACTACCCGATCTACGGAAGAGAGAAAAATGCAGCATGGCGACTGTTTCGGACAGACCAGCAGTATGAAGAGCAAATCCTGAATGCTGGCAAGCAACAGTCGCTGCACTGGCCACAGCTACAACTTGTTTATGACTTGCTGGTACTGTTTAAAGAACTGTATGCACATTATCCCATTTAATTCTCATAAAAGCCATACAAGGTATGTACTACTAGGATCCCCACTTTACAGATGAGAAAACTGAAGCACAGAGATGCTAGGCCACTTCCTCAACGTCACAAAGTGAACCTGGGCAGGCGCCAGGGCCGACTCCAGTGCTCAGGCAGCTGAGTCCAACTCTCACCCACCCTATCTCCTGGTTGGACAGCTTTCCAAGATGATAGGGATACCAGTGTGAGTTTCTTCGAAATTTCACAAACACTAAATCTTCCAGAAAGTACGGCTTAATTAAGGCTGTAGGTAAAGCTTTCAGAATATAATGTATATATACATAGCTAGCTATTATAATTAACAAACACTAGTTAGAGCTTAGGCACAACTGAAAACCATTCAATGAGATGAAGAAATAACACAAAGCTTACTTTTTTTGAAGTTTACGATTTTTTTCAGCCTGTCCCCCCAATTTGCTAAGTCCCAAGGCATCCTGAGATGAGTTATCCGTCTCGGAAACACCAGCTGTGAGGAAGCAGAACAGCCCAGAAGTAAAAATCAGCATGACAAAGCTCTATGTTTTCATAAATAGGCAGATGAATATTTGCAGGTTCAGATTTAAATCATTTCTTAAGGCTAAGTTTCTGACTAGACAACCAAATGCCCAAGACGGAAATGCTCAAGACAGGAAATGTGTTGTACCTGAGTGGCAAGTGAGCATAAACTGCTGCTCTCTAGCTCCCATGCCTTCACAGCTGCTGCTCCCTGGAGAGCACACGGCTCCTGGAGCACCGCGTGGGAACTGATGGCACCGAAGGCAGTGCCTTCCTCCCCGACCCCTGGGTGCTGAGAAGGGTGCGGAAAACCAACCAACCTTGTCCTAATGCTTCTTTGCCAGTTTGTCCAGGTCGGCCCTTTTCTTTCTTGCCAAACAAGCGGCCAATGGAGGACTTAATGCCTTTCTTCTTTGGGGCTTTGTGGAGCGAGTCCTGGCTACTGTTGCTACTGCTGGGGTTGCTCACGGGACCATCCTGGGAGCCTGTGGAGCTTCGAGGAAAGAAAACGGATCTTTACTATGTGCCCTTGTAGGATACTTCACATATTAACAGTCGCAAACTTCCCTACAAGCACTTCCAGTCTCTTTCACACACATCTTCCTCACCAAGTGCATCATGCATGATAAAGGCAGACTCCCGGCGAGGCCAGCGCGGAGACCCATTCTGGGCAGCTGAGACTCTCTCTGACATGGAGCTCCCCTCCCCTTCAGGGGAGGCCCTGACTCCGCGCCATCAGGTGCCAAAGCCCAATGGTCTGCCTGCTTCCCCTCCAGCAGCTCCCACAACCGCCCTGAGCATTACTCTACTCAGCTGAGAACCGTGGCAATGTTAACTGCCTGAGGGGTTACTGCAAAAATTAATATACATGCCTCCCCTGCATATTGCCTGGCACAGAACCGAAATCCAATGGAATTTAAAAAAAGAGGGGCCGGGCGCGGTGGCTCACGCCTGTAATCCCAGCATTTTGGGAGGCCGAGGCGGGCAGATTATGAGCTCAGGAGTTCGAGACCAGCCTGGCCAGCATGGTGAAACCCCATCTTTACTAAAAATACAAAAATTAGCCGGGCATGGTGGTGTGCGCCTGTAGTTCCAGCTACTCGGGAGGTGAAGGTTGTGGTGAGCCAAGATCATGCCACTGTACTCCAGCCTGGGCAACAGAGCAAGACTCTATCTCAAAAAGAAAAAAAAAGATAGCATAGATAGCATACTAGTAACAAAACAGCTGATTGGTTTCCTGAGAGGGGACACTCACTAAATTGGTAAGTACAACTTGGAACTCTCCACAGTTTACAAAAGGCACAAGAAAGGCACGGGTTGTCCTAGAGAGCGGTTCCAATACCAAGCCTGTCATCTGCTTGCCAAACTCTCCATCAAGAATAGAAAGTAGTCAATTTATAGACTCTGAAGACATGAAGTTTTTCCAAAACTTGCTGATATCATTTAACTCCTTTCTTTCCAAACTAAGCTTGCCCAAACAGATATGCATCTTCTGCTGGATTTCACTATAGCCCAGAGCAGTGGTAAGCATTCTAAGTGTAACATGTAAATACACTCAACTGAATTAATGGGTAATTCTACAAAATCACTGTTTTACTCAAGGAAAGATTTGTCGATTTCTCAACACCAGAAACGAAAAGACAGGTGCGCTCTGCATGGGGCTGCTGCAGGCTCCTTACTTCCTTATGTCCCTGATGTCCTCGTGGCTGACGGTGTGCAGCGCCCCTTTGTGCAGCCGGTCTAACCGAAGGGCTCTCGGGGAGGAAGGCGGGGAGGTTTCACACTTTATGGTTGTCTTGTCATCTCGTACCTCTTCTCTGGAAGGTGGCAACTGAGGGGTGAGAGAAGTGCAAAGTTAGTTAACAGCAGACTGTGAAAAACTCAGGCCTTAAATTATAGCCATAAACTTCTTTGAAAATCGATTTGCTGTGCTTTCTGCCAGCACAGAAAGTCTTGTTTCAGTCTGGCACCATTCTGAAGGGCCACGCAGCACAGCACCACAGAGTTGTCAGACTCCTGGTCTGCCTCCCCACGAGCGTGCGCTGGGGCCCAACAGGACACAGGTATGCCCCTCATCCTCAGCCTCCTCCATGCAGCCCAAGGTTCTGCCCTCCCCGGAATCCTAGGCACATCATGAGGACAGTCTCTGAAGGGGCAGCAGAGATCTGAACAACACCGATAAACCACATCGTTACAAATGTGAGACAGCATTAACTTGCACTAATGAAGAGCCAGTAACAAATACGTTTATCTCCTGATGTCCTTCAAAAGAAACACTAGAGAGGGCAAGAAACCACTTGGGCAAAATTGTCAAATACCTTTTTTGTCTGAACGGGGTAAAAATAAACAAGGAACAGCCCATGACCCCCATACACATGTGTATGGCTCATATTTCTCAATGTTTGGATGGACACTATAAATTCAAGCACTTTTATGCAGTTTAAACATTTTTGTTCAATATAGCTTAAAAGAAAATACTTCTAGGCTTATCATTACAAGATGATCTTTGTCAGACTCCCAGGGTTTTTTTGTTTTTGCAGTGGAACGTGAATACGCCCATGTGCTGAGGGAGCAGGATGGTGGTTAACAACAGTGAACAGACTCACCCCTGCAGGGTCTAGGCAGATCCTGCTTATACATTTGTGTTTTCTGGTTTTGAGTGGGACTGGATTTCATAAAACATGTTCAGCAAGCATTACTATAAACAGCAAGACTTGAACAGTGAACTTTATTTTATTAAAAATAAATTTTAAGAGCCAGGTTCTTGCTGTGATTCCAGGCTGGACTGCAGTGGCTATTTGCAGGTGTGATCATGGTGCGGTGCAGCCTCAAACTCCTGTGCTCAACTGATTCTTGCCTCGGCCTCCAAAGTAGGTGGGACTACAAGCACGTACCACTGGGCTCAGTTTGAATTTCTGCTTCTTAAATGGGATTGTGTAAAGTGTATCAATCCTACTGTAGCCCCACTGTGGCTCAGGGAGGACCAAGTGCATTCAATGCAAAATGGAGCTGTGCTCATTTAGGACAGAATCTCAACTAACAGTTAAAATGCAAATGAATCCTGCATCCTTTCCTAATTTCCAGTTGCAATCACAAAACAATGAAAGGCTTTCAAAGCTAGAAATTATCAATATGAAGCTTAAGTTTCAAAATTCAGGTTAAAACAATCATCTGTTTTAAAAAAACAAAACCAAAAACAGAGTACAGAGAAAGCTGACACGCAGCCAGCTATAAGCTGGTAACAGGGTCTGGGGAAAGCCCCGTGAGCCTGGCCAGCGCTGCCCTCCTCATCCCTCCACACGCCGCCCTCCGACACCTCCACACGCCGCCCTCCCACCCCTCCACACGCCGCCCTCCGACACCTCCACACGCCGCCCTCCCACCCCTCCACACGCCGCCCTCCGCACCCCTCCACACGCTGTAGTGCTGTCACGTGCCAGACTTCTGCCTCCATCCCAGCTCAGGCCTACTAGAAAGCAGGGAAGTCCTCTTGGTCTACACCAACACCACTGACACAGAGAAGGAAGGCGACAGTCTCTTGTAGACAAGGCCTGGCACTCTGCACGCACCCCTGGTTTAACCTCACAACCACCCGAGGCCTAGGCTCCTCAAAGACACCAAGTAGCACGCTGAAGTTACCAGTGACCAACAGGGCCAGGTTATCATGCCTAAGTGTCAATCAACATGCTACTTCCTTCACTGAGAAAATCTTGCTATCAAAAAATAAAGAAAAAACAATCCAACAGAAGTCAGCTGAACTGAAGGCCGTGCTCTGTGTCTTGTTGCTGCTGGTGTAAGCTCCTTATCTCACCACAGACAGCCACAGGTCCAATGCCACTTTAAGTGGCACTGTTCTATCATTATCTTCACTTCTCAGGAGAGTAAACCAAGGTACAAACAGACTCCAGGTCACAAACTCATCAGTGACTGAACTAGGATCTGAACCCAAGCAGTTTCACTAAATCACTCAACAGAGCAGCTCACAGACAGCTGCTGACCAGGTCCCACACTTTTGTCAGAGGACAGCTGCCTTTAGGTATCTCTGAAGAGCTGTCCAGTCACTGCACCATCAGGCGGGTTTCAAACAGGGGCACAGAATACAGACCAGAGCATGAAAGTTATGAGGGAGAGATTTGGGGTCAACATAAAGAACAGCTGCTGAGCAGATCTCCTCCTAATGTACTCTACTTCCTTCGAGAACAGGAAGGCCCAATCCACAGTTATCTCTAAAGAGAAGTGGCCTTGGACCTCCTTCTGTAGGAACGCTGCCAGGGAGGTCAGAGTATCTGAGACAAGTAAGGCTAGATGGTGAAGTGGTCAACTGTCAGGTTTTGAAATCAGACAAATCTGAACTCAAATCTGCACTGTGCACTGTGGGGCCTCTCTAAGCTTTAGTTTCCACATCTGTAAAATGGGGATAACAACAGTAACCTCACAGGGATGTGTATGGGGATTAAATACGGGTTGAGCATCCCAAACCCAAAAATCTGATATTCAAAATGCTCCAAAATCTATAATTTGAGTGCTGACATGATGCTTGAAGGAAATGGTCAATGGAGCATTTCAGATTTTGGATTTTCAGATTTGAGAGGCTCAACTAGTAAGTGTAATGCAAATATTTCAAAATTTAAACAAATCTGAAATCTGAAATACCTCTGGCCCTAAGCATCTCAGATCAGGGACACTCAGCCTATACCAGACTGGGAAAGCACTCAGCACAGTGCCTGGCATACAGCAAGAGCCCAATGCTAGCTGTGATTATTATGAAAATGGGTCCCCCCGCATCTACATTCTATAGCTTTGCACTAGTAATTTCTTATTTTTAAAACTACTACATCTATGAATAAGCATGTAATGATCAGAAGGCTGAAAAGGTGAGAGAATGGCAAGCTGTTACATTTGTCCCAGTGTTCTGTGAAAACCGCTAATGACCAATTTCCAATAGAACAATTGTCAGTAAGGTGCTAGGTCACTTTAAACACTTCCATTAAAACGCCAACCATTCATTATTATACAACTACATAATGCTACATTTATGGAAAATATGATAGGTACTCTTCAATACATTATGGAGATACAAAGATATGTTAAATTACTAAACAATTTACCTTTCTACGATGTTTCCTTAAATCACTAGGCTGATAGATGCATGCAAAGAAATGAAGAGAAACCAGATTTACTATATACACTTTGAAGTTAAAAATTCAAGGATCAGTATAAGCAAATATATTAAAATAGAAATGACAGGAGACAGGATTTAGAGAAAATGTAACTGGATACAGAACCATTTTTTCACCAAAAAATTTAAATATAAGTTATTAAAGGTTTATTAGAGAAACACTATAAATTATTACTTAGATAAAATTCTATTTCATGTGTTTTATTAAAATATGGCATTCTATA
Organism: Homo sapiens; assembly: GCF_000001405.40. Lineage (NCBI taxonomy): Eukaryota > Metazoa > Chordata > Mammalia > Primates > Hominidae > Homo > Homo sapiens. The sequence continues at coordinate 106,549 of NW_021160005.1, read as the reverse complement.
TAATAAAAGGCCCTAACAATCATCTATTCTAAGCCAAACCTCTCTATAACTTAGTTTTCTTTAATAAAATCCATGTTATAATTAAAAATATTCCAACGGATGAGGAAGTTACTGCAATACCAATTATAAAACTGAACAAACCTACTTTTAGTTAATCACCTGTTGGACATTAATGTAAAATCCTTACCTAGAATTTGATTTACCACTTTTCAAAAATAAATTTATTGCTTAAAGCAAGGTATCCTGTGAAAATATATAAGAACAAAAGCTAGCATAATATTAGGTAGAATCTTTACATCCATCCTATGATTCACATAAGATATTTTAATTTAAAAATAACCTATTAGAGATAGTTGATGAGACTCAACAGGCTGATGAGATTTACAGTCTTGAACACAATCATCAGAACCAGAAAGCATACTGTTTGTGTAAACAGCTTCCATTAATTCTACGCTTAGATTAGTTATGTAGGAAACACTTATGAATTACACAAATCCTACATAATTTGAGTAAAAAAACTCTTAAACACCTATGTCTTGCCTGTATCCATACTTACTATATAGTAATACACTAATTTAAATTACCATTGAGAAAAAGATACTTTTAACTGAGAAAAAAACAACCCATTAATAAAGTCATCACAGCACAAACTCACAAACATGATCGAACACACACAGTTGCGTGGTTACCTGAGCATGCTGTGAAGAATCGCTATAGCATGGGGTGGAACTGGGAGGGGAGGTGGATGAGTAAACTACTGACTGATGGGGACCTGAGGTCTGGATTAAAAATGAATCTGGAGATGGCTAAAATAATAAAACAAAAGGATGACAGGAAATCAAAACCAATGACGGAAGCATAGAGACTGTCAGCCAGCATACAGAATTACAAAACCAGAAAAAATATATATACATACACAACTGTTTTTACGAATTCTCTGGACAGAAATAAGCACAAGCCCACAAATAAAACAGTCAAAGAGTTTAAAATGTTACCTAATTAGTAGATGATGTAAATTATAAAAACAGTATTTCAAAACACTGCAAAATAGACTAGTTACCACCTCATATGCCACTAAAATGATTCACCGTCGATTTAATTGCATGCTGGCTAACAACACAACTAAAAACGAAAATAGATGGTAACGGGAAAAAATATGATAGAAGCACAGTTAAAAAGCAAATGGTGTAAATATGAAATATTTCATTGACAACACACTGACAAATTCTAAATATACAAGATAGTTTGGTTTTTTTTTAGATAAAGATGGGGTTCTCACTATGTTGCCCAGGTTGGTCTCTTAACTCCTAGCTCAAGCAATCCTCCCACCTTGGCCTCTCCAAAGTGCTGGGATTACAGGCGTGAAATACCATGCCAGGCCCAAAGGAAAGTTTTAAACATTCCTCAGATCTGCACACTTTGCAAACACCAAACACCAGAAGGTCATTGCATTTCCAGGTGAGAGGTGACCCTAAGCTGTGAAGGGAAGAAGCCCATCTGCTTCCTTAGGGAGCCACGAAGCAGCTGGCTTGTTCACGGCTTCAAATGCAGAACCCATTTCATGTTTTTCCTTTTTTTTTTTTTTTTTTTTTTGGTAGTAGATGCCCAGGAAGCTGGTTGGGCACTCCGAAAGGAAAGAAATGCACTGACCCACTTTGTGCATTTTCCCATATGCTCTGATGTCTGCCTTTATTTACTTTTGCTAAGTGGTTTTTCCTATAAAACAGAAAATATTTCCCCTTCTGGCTGCTGTACTTTGCACAGATGTCATGCCTAATGTCACACAAACAAATGGTGTAATGCTAGCCTGGTCATCCAAATATTAAAATTTTTTTTTATATTTTTTGGGATTTGTTTTGAGACAGGGTCTCACTCTGCTGCCCAGGCTGGAGGGCAGTGATGCAATCATGGCTCACTGTAGCCTCGACCTCCTGGGCTCAGGTGATCCTCCCACCTCAACCTCCAGAGTAGCTGGGACTACAGGCACACACCACCAGGCCCAGCTACTTTTTGTAAAGATGGGGTTTTGCCATGTTGCCCAGCTGGTTTTGACCTCCTGGGCTCAAGTGATCTGCCCACCTCAGTCTCCCAAAGTGTGAGGAATCACAGGCATGAGCCACCACGCCCGGCCCCAGATATTAAAATTAGTTTGTCATAACTGAATGATTAAATAGTAACTAGTTTTTATAATCTTGAACCTCTTAGAATAACGAATGTACTTGATTTTCTTGTGGGTAGATTTGTAGTGTCCAAGATTTCATACAGGTATGCTGAGGGCAGCCACAGCAGGGAAAGGGCGGATACGTACAAGGGTCATGACGCCCAGTCTGTCCACTTCCCGAGCTGGGCTGTGAGGGATCCTTCGTGGGGTGGAGCGCCCACTGCCCGGAGGGGAGGAGCTAGCAAGCGAGGAAGCAGGGTAGGGGGGAATGGAGCTCATTGATCTAAAACGACCAAGATTGTCTAGACTTCCACTGCCAACTCGACTTTCAATCTCCTCTGCCCGCTGCTCTGTATTTTCTTTTTCTTCCTGAATCAACCTAAAATAAAACAAAAGCAGTCAGTCCTCCTGTTTCGGCAAACAGATTAATGTGTTTGCATGAGAAAAACCATGCTTATACTCTGTATTACTATGAGTAAACTCCAGTAATAAGCTGCTCAAACAATGAACACTTCAGCAAAAATGTTCTACTCTTTTTAAATTTTTATTTATTTATTTTTCTTTTGAGATGGAGTCTCGCTCTGTTGCCCAGGCTAGAGTGCAGTGGCGCGATCTCGGCTCACTGCAACCTCTGCCTCCTGGGTTCAAATAATTCTCCTGCCTCAGCCTCCTGAGTAGCTGGGATTACAGGCGCGTGCCACCATGCCCGGCTAATTTTTCGTATTTTTAGTAGACACGGGGTTTCACCATGTTGGCCAGGCTGGTCTCGAACTTCCAACCTCGTGATCCGCCTGCCTCGGCCTCCCAAAGTAGTGGGATTACAGGCGCGAGCCACAGCTCCTGGCCAAATTTTTTATTTTTTCAGACAGGGTCTCACACTGTCATCCCGGCTGGAGTGCAGTAGCATGATCACAGCTCACTGCAGCCTCGAACTCCTGGACTCAAGGGATCCTCCTGCCTCAGCCTCCCAAGTAGCTGGGGCAACAGGTATGCACTACCACGCCTGGCTCATCTTTTAAAATTTTTTTTGTAGAGACAAGGTCTTCCTATGTTGCCAAGGCTGGTCTCAAACTCCTGACTTCAAGACATCCTCCAACCTCAGCCTCCTCCCAAAGTGGTGGGATTACTGGCATGAGCCACCACACTGGCCTCAATCTTTTTTAATATACTACATCTTACAACAACAAAAAGTAAACCTTCCATTGAGTCTTGTTGGTTCTGGATATCATTAACATTTGATTTTACTTATTTACACAAAAATTCTGGAGAAGGCTGGATGGCAATTTTTCCTATGGTTGCAATTAATAATTTCCTTACTAAGTGATATTTTAAAATTTTATGACCCTTATCTCCCCTATTCTTAGAGCAAAGCTGAAGAAATCTACAGATTTCTTCAACTGGAAATCAGGAACTCTAATATAAAGAACAGATGCACAAAACAATTAGGAGTTTCCCAACACTTAACTGTTTAGACTAAACGAAAATATTGAGTTGGTTCTTTTTTTTAGTTTAAATTTGAACCAGAGCGTTATCTGATGGGATTCTCTACCATCCTCATGTAAATTTCTGGATTCATGCCAACCATGCTACATTAATTTGGAATTCAAGATTAACGCTCCTCTCTCCTAGAGTGTCATGGATCACTAGACAGCAGTTTTAATATTTGACTGTGCCAATAATAATTATTCTAGTATTAAAATATAGAAACCTTGCAATAACCCTTCCAATTAAAGTTCTACTTACATTTCTAAGAAAAGTGCTTTTTGATCATTATTAATAGAAGAAAATCCACAAGTCAGTGGACAGAACACTTACATCAGGTCAACTTTCTGCATAAAGAGGAAACACTTTTATCTAGCTATACATCATAAGAAATAAAAACAAAAGGTATATAATCCTTTCCCAGCTCCCATAATGATGAGGAAAGACGATCTTTCTGAACGCTTCATCACACTAATTATTTTGCACCTCCTCCTTCAAAGGGCCCCCATGCCTGGCAACAGATGCTGCAGAGGTCTCTTCGCCAGTTTTCAAGGTGGCACATGAAATGGGAGTTATAAAGTCAAAAACACAGGCAGCACACCAACTTCTTACTTCAGAATGTACAGCCCTATTTTTTTCTTTTTAATAAAAAAAAAAAGCTGGAGTAACACAGCTCTTGTTGATGTTTCTCTCAACCTTCTCTTCTTTACCTCCTGTTCTCTCTGACCAGGACTGGCACCTCCACCCACGTAAACTTCACAAGCAAGTCGTGGCAGCACCCCACCCAGACCTGCTGCAGGACTCCACACACACACCTGCTCCTCCCTTGGATTCAGGCTAGCCAAGCAGCACGTCAGGCCAGGGCCCGAGGGTAGATCCCAGGCACCCCCTGGTCACACTGCTGTGTCCCTAGGCCAAGCCAGCGTGGGCAGGGTTTACCGGTCTCTTCATAAATATAAAAGCAATTCTTGGATTCCATTCTACAGTTGGCCCGTTTTGTAAGTTCTGCATTATAACTGCTAAAGTTGCTAAAGAAAAACCCTTTAAAATACTGACGAGACAAGAAAGATTCAAACCTGCAATCTGAGCACTCACTGTCCATGTTAACTTCACACAGGGAAAGGAACACTGGAGTGGAGCCGTGCACTCCTGAAGAGCTCCAGTGTTCTGTACCAGGCCACTGTGTGACGGGACCTGAACATGTGAGGCTCTGATGTACGCACACTCATCACAGTGCCTGGCCTAATTTTTATATTTTTTGAGACAGATCTCACTCTGTCATCCTGGCTGGAGGGCAGCAGCATGATCACAGCTCGCTGCAGCCTCGAACTCCTGGGCTCAAGGGATCCTCCCGCCTCAGCCTCCCAAGTAGCTGGTGTGACAGGTATGCACTACCATACCTGGCTCATTTTTTTTAATTTTTTTTGTAGAGATGAGGTCTTCCTATGTTGCCAAGGCTGGTCTGAACACAGCCCTGGCTCAATTCCTAGTCTCCTCTAAACCAGTGTCTTCCTCATCTCAACAAACAGACTCCATCCTTCCAGCTGTTCAGCCCAAAGGCTTGGAGTCATCTCTGACTCCTGTCTTTCCTTCTCACCCTGGATCCAATCCCTCAGCAAATCTTGTTGGCACTCCATAACAATACACTGAACATGCTCCATGTGCTCCTTCTCCTTCCTCCTTCACGCCCCTGCTCAGACGTCACCCTCACTATACTGACTCCCTGGCCTCCCTTCTTAAAATTCTTATTTCCCTGCTCACTCCACAACTCAGGGCCGCCCTGAGTCCCACTTCCATGCTTATTACCATCTGACGTACAGGGATCGTTTAAAAATATGTCCACAAACACTTTTAACACTCGTCCCTTTAAGAGGTGGAGGGTGATTCTCACCCCAAACGCTGAGTGTGGGCAGGACTCAGCACCTCACTCAAATGAACAGAATAGAGAGGAAGTGAAGGCTGTGGCTTCCAAGACCAGGACTGGAAAGGCTGTGGGACTTTCTCCTCGCCCTCTCCTAGAGTACGGGCTGCTTGCATCACAATGCAAGGACCCTAGAGCAGCCCCGGTGGCCAGTTCCAAGTGGTGGCTGATGGCCCCGAGGCCTCCTGCCCCAGTTGGGTCTTTCTGTGGCTCCAGCCTTGCCAGATTGAGCCGGGACTGTCCTGCTCTGCTGCTCCTGTGCTCACAGGAGCTGTGAACTACGAAATGTTCACTGTTTTAAGCCACTGAGCTCCGTAGTAATTTGTTCTACACCAACAGTCAACACACACACACTACCAGACTCTATCTGTCGACTGTTTGTGTCCTCTGGGATGCAGGCATTCTTCCTGTTTTATTACACACTGCTGCAGGCCTAGGACTCTACAGGTCTGTAATGGGGCCTGGCCCAAACTAGCTGTTGAGTGACGATGGGGGCTAAAATTATACTTGCGTGTATTGAAACAAACGCTGCTGAACAGACCAAAGTAAGAAGGTAAACGTTCTACACTTTTAAACGTCACTACACACAGCCTCTTCTGTGCAGGAGGCTGCACATGCGGCAGGTGATAGCAACGCGCTCCTTTCAGGGTTCAGGGTCAAGGAGGGACACTAAGACCAGAAGAGGGTTGATAAGCAACCCTTCCTCCCGCTTCCCACCATATGCGCCCGCTCCGGTGTGCATGTGTTCTGAGTGCTGGTCTCTCTGGTGAGTGGCACTGGCCTGTGGAGGCAGCCACTGCTATTCATTCAAGGCAGGCTTCAGTCCGTCATCTCTTCCCAGCCCACCACCGTGCACACCTTTCATCTGCACTCTGGATCAGGAAGGTAGGCCGATCAGCCTCCTCCAGATGTGCTCAGCTCATGTGGCCTTCCAGGTGCAGCTTTCAGGACGGCAGTGGGAGCTGGGCTGAGCCCCTTCAGCACCCTCCAGCTATGTGGCGAGCTTCTCAGGGGAAGGACCTCTCAGGTCCCACAATGTCCTACAGAAAGGTACTAGTGCCGTAACTGTGGGGAGAGTGCCCTGGTTACCTGAATTTTATATTCAAGGGCAATTTCAGACCTTAAAATTCTTAAAACAGAAGTTAAGTAAGTTCTATTATTATGTAATACTTAGAAAATGTTAATAGTATTTCATCCAGACTTTTCCAGGCAAGATGAGATTCCTCAGAGACACCCATGCGTGTGGTGAGTGTCATGCACGGTTGCACACACCTGATCTCTTTGTTGATGGCGTCCAGCTGCTCCTGAAGCATCATGGCTAGTGTGTGCGCGTCGGCCTGCCCGCTGGGCGATAGCAGGTCAACTGAGCTGAGGAGAGTGTCCCTGTCATCTTCACCATCAGACACGTCAGCATCACTCTCGAATGCTTGTGCTACATTTGCCAAGACACTAGCTTGCTGGGCACGTTCCCAATCCTGCTCATTAAGAGTTTGTACCTATAAACAAGAAAACCAAATCTCAGTAGATAAAGTAACAACATTAGTTGTAGAAACATAAATCTATCGGAAATTTAGGAATTCTTTAATGAAAGCCCAAAAGATTTTAGAAAGATGGGCCATGCTTATAAGGTACTGACATGAAGCAGGCAGTATTTAAGAAATTGGGGAGGGCAACAATCCATTCCTTGGACCCTTGTGATATTAACGCCCTAACATGGACATGTGGCATTTCCATGGCGAAATACACAACTGGGAGATGGCAGAGTCAGAAACAAAAACCGAAAATCAGCCGGGAAGGGTGGGCAGGGGGAGGATGAAGAGAGGCTGATCAATGGCTGCAAATATAGCCTTAGAAGAAATAAGACCTGGTGTTGGACAGATCAGCAGGGTGACTAAAGTTAACATTACTAGGTGATACACGCCAGGCGTGGTGGCACATACCTGTAAACCCAGCATTTTGGGAGGCTGAGGTGGGTGATCACCTGAGGTCAGGAGTTCGAGACCAACCTGGCCAGCATGGCGAAACCCCATCTCTACTAAAAATACAAAAATTAGCCAGGTGTAGTGGCTCATGCCTGTAATCCCAGCTACTGGAGAGGCTGAGGCAGGAGAATTGCTTGAACCTGGGAGGTGGAAGTTGCAATGAGTCCAGGTCGCGCCACTGCACTCCAGCCTGGGCGACAGAAAGAGACTCTGCCTCAAAAAAAAAAAAAAAAAAAAAAAAAAAAAGGTGGTACATTTCAAAATAGCTGCAAGGGAATAACTTGAATGTTCCTAGTGTAAAGAAAAGAGAAATACGTAAGGTGATGGATATCCCAATTACCCTGATTTAATTATACGAATGTATCAAATTATCACATATATCCCCAAAATATGTATACTTAATATGGATCAATAAAAAAATACACCTTACTCCAATTATACATGCTACTGGAAAGTTACAGAAATAAAAAAGATTTAAATCCATATCAACTGAGTTCACTCAGTTGCCGTAAATTTCATAAGTGTTTTCAAGTTCCCTCTAACCAACCTGCGTGTCCACATCCCGCCCTACCTGAGGCTGGCACTACCAAGCTCGAACGAGGAAAAGGAGGGCAGCAGCAACTGAGAGAATCAAGGGCAACCTCAAGAATGGCAGTGTATGCGGCATGGGCAGCTCAGTGCTGAGTGGCCGTGTCTGACTGAGGCATTATGTATGTCATCAGAATGCAGAGGGAAAAGTGTGTGTGCCGGGACCTACGCAATCCCCCCAGGGGTGATTCTTTCATGCCACCTCACTCTTCAAGCCCCCAACACCTCCTCTCCCATTCTCACTCCCAACTGGCGACCTTCCCATTTCATGGAGACAAAACCAAGGCCTGCACTCGGCCTTCCTCCTCTCTGAGGTCAGCCCCACCTGCTGGGCAGCAGCCTCAAGCCCTGGCTCACACCCGGATCTCCGGCCATCACAGCTCCCTCTCTGGATAAGCAAGTTCCACTAGCTCGTCCCATTAGCATAAGGACATCTTCTCCCCCATCTCACCTTAAAACACCACGGCAGAAACCAAGGCCCTTCCCCAGTCCCTGCCCGGGCGGGTCTCCTTTCACCCACGCCTCCACTGTTTTGCTCCCAACCAGAGTAAAAGATCCTGGTGAGCCACCTCCATTCTGTCTTCCTCTCCCCACTTCTCTAGACCTTGCTGCAGGCCAGCTTTCAGCGCTTACTTCCCTGCCAGCGGGACTATTCTATGGCAGTTCCAACGTGCTCCCCGTTACTAAGGCCACCAGCTGTCCCTTTGTCCCGTCTCCCACCTGACCTGGCCCATCAGCAGGGTGGGCTCCGCTGCTCTCCTCTCTTCCCTGAGCACTCTACCCAGTTGGTCCCAGGACCCTACCCCTCGCTGGTCATGCCTCTGTCTCATTCCTTCCCAGTCTCCCCACCGATGGCCTTGGAGCACCCCAGAGCTCCATTCTTAGACCTTGTCTCCATCCAGGCACCCATGAGGTGGTGTCATCTTGTCTCATGTTTCTTAATACCATCCATATGCGCAAAATGCCCCAATTTTCATCTCTAGTTCTAGATGTCTCTTGGGTTCCAGACTGTGATATTCAACAGCCAACCTGCCACCTCCCCTGGACAGCTGACAGTCCCATCAACCTGAACATGGCCCTGGCTCAATTCCTAGTCTCCTCTAAGCCAGTGTCTTCCTCATCTCAAAAAACAGACTCCATCCTTCCGGCTGTTCAAGCCCAAAGGCTTGGAGTCATCTTTGACTTCCTCTCTTTCCTTCTCACCCTGGATCCAATCCCTCAGCAAATCTTGTTGGCACTCCATAACAATACACTGAACACGCTCCATGTGCTCCTTCTCCTTCCTCCTTCACGCCCCTGCTCAGACGTCACCCTCACTATACTGACTCCCTGGCCTCCCTTCTTAAAATTCTTATTTCCCTGCTCACTCCACAACTCAGGGCCGCCCTGAGTCCCACTTCCATGCTTATTACCATCTGACGTACAGGGATCGTTTAAAAATATGTCCACAAACACTTTTAACACTCGTCCCTTTAAGAGGTGGAGGGTGATTCTCACCCCAAACGCTGAGTGTGGGCAGGACTCAGCACCTCACTCAAATGAACAGAATAGAGAGGAAGTGAAGGCTGTGGCTTCCAAGACCAGGACTGGAAAGGCTGTGGGACTTTCTCCTCGCCCTCTCCTAGAGTACGGGCTGCTTGCATCACAATGCAAGGACCCTAGAGCAGCCCCGGTGGCCAGTTCCAAGTGGTGGCTGATGGCCCCGAGGCCTCCTGCCCCAGTTGGGTCTTTCTGTGGCTCCAGCCTTGCCAGATTGAGCCGGGACTATCCTGCTCTGCTGCTCCTGTGCTCACAGGAGCTGTGAACTACGAAATGTTCACTGTTTTAAGCCACTGAGCTCCGTAGTAATTTGTTCCACACCAATAGTCAACACACACACACTACCAGACTCTATCTGTCGACTGTTTGTGTCCTCTGGGATGCAGGCATTCTTCCTGTTTTATTACACACTGCTGCAGGCCTAGGACTCTACAGGTCTGTAATGCGGCCTGGCCCAAACTAGCTGTTGAGTGACGATGGGGGCTAAAATTATACTTGCGTGTATTGAAACAAATGCTGCTGAACAGACCAAAGAAAGAAGGTAAACGTTCAAAGGTGAATTCTTTTCACTAAATGACGAATATATGTATTCAATTACTTCTTTTATTTTGTAGAAACAGGGTCTTACTCTGTTGACCAAGCTGGAGCGCAGTGGTGCAATCATAGAGCTCACCATAGCGTTGACCTCCCGGGGCTCAAAGGGATCCTTCTACCCCAGCCCCAAGAATAGCTGGGACTGCAGGGACATGCCACCATGCCCAGCTAATTTCTTTATTTGTAGAGACAGGGTCCTACTATGATGCCCAGGCTGGTCTCAATCTCCTGGGCTCAAAGGATCCTTCTGCCTCAGCCTCCTGAGTAGCTGGGACTATAGGCACACACTACCACACCCAACTAATTTTTTCTTTTTTTTTTTTTTAATAGAGACAGGGGTCTCCCTGTGTTGCCAAAGCTGGTCTCAAGCTCCTGGCTTCAAGCGATCCTCCCAAAGCACTGGGATTACAGGTGTGAGGCACTGCACTCGGCTTTTTATTTTATTTTTTAAGATGGAGTTTCACTCTTGTAGCCCAGGCTGGAGTGCAATGGTGCTTTCTCAGCTCGCTGCAACGCCTCCCGGGTTCAAGCGATTCTTCTGCCTCAGCCTTCTGAGTAGCTGGGATTATAGGCACCTGCCACTGTGCCGAGCTAATTTTTTGTATTTTTAGTAGAGACGGGGTTTCACCATGTTGACCAGGCTGATCTCAAACTCCTGACCTCAGGTGATCCACCCGCCTTGGCCTCCCAAAGTTCTGGGATTATAGGCGTGAGCTACCTGCACCTGGCCTACTCATTTATTTTTAATCACTACTTTAAATCCATGATTATCATTGTATTTAAAAGTGACTGTATTTTTATAAGAATTCCTATTAAAAGGAAAAAAAAAAAAAAACTACAGAGGCCAGGCACGGTGGCTCACACCTGTAGTCCCAGCACTTTGTGAGGCCGAGGCAAGAGGACTGTGTGAGGCCAGGAGTTCAAGACCAGCTTGGGCAACACAGACCCTACCTCTTTAAAACAAAAACAAAAACAAAAACAAAACCCTATTTTAAAAAATGCTCTAAAAGCTAAACTCTTAGTCAGAAAATAGAAAATGAGAGGAGGGCAAGAAAGCAATGACCTATCAACATTTTTATCCCAAAGTAGTCTGAAAGCCACGGGATAAGTAGGTAACTTTCACGTAAGCAGAGGTATTTCACACAAAGACCTTGCCTTGGAAGGCTCATCTCGCAGGGCTGCCAGCCGGCCTTTCTGTGGGCGCCGCAGCACTGCACTGGTGCTGTAGGAGTCTGTGTGGCCGTCTGCCATGGGGAACCTGAAATCTGGGACACTGCCCAAGTGGGGTCGGCTGAAACATGAAAAATAAGAATGATCATTATTAGAAGAAAAGAAAATAAACTCTCTTTTAGTTAAGGCAGAATCTATCAATTTGGAAAAGTTATTCCACACAGGAAAGGGTCTCCAGGGAGGGCACTGCTCTCATCTGCCCCAAGAGCTACATGTTGCCTGCTCCAGGCCAACAGTTTTAGTCTCTCAGCCCTACCAGGTAGAAAGCTCTCCAGGAAAAGCTGTGCAGACAGCCAAGGTGATGAGCCACAAGGAGCCCAGCTGTCTAGGATGAGAGAGACCCCTCCTCTGGGTCCAGGTGTCTGGCTCTGCATTTCTGCTCCACTTTCCCAGGGCTGACGAAAAACACAGCCACACGCCACTGCTGGCCTTCAACTGCTCTGCAATTGTCCCACCCGTGCCAGCATCTGTGGTGTGAGATCTTGGGATCTGTCATTCTGCTCTTACATCATCAGTGTCACACTCTGCTGGGCACCTAAATTAAGATATCCAAATATTAACTGATCAAAACTCCTCCTGTGTTTTGGAGTTTCGCCAATGATGTGTCTCCTCAGTACCAAGCTCTAACCTTTGAGTTACTTTTCTCTCTCGCTTCCTACTAAGCTACAGGCTCCTTGAGGTCACACCATTAGCCACATCCAGTTAGGCTGCCCACATAGCCAAGAACTGGCCTGCCACAGGTGCTGACAATATGGCTGCTCACTGGTTAATACCATACCCATGATGAAGTGAAGCACCTCTTAGTCTCATGTGGTCTAGTTCAGCCCTCAGTGCTTCAATGTTTAGGACAAGCTGATCCTACAGAAAAGCAAAAGACTTACATTACTGCTATCTCTTTTAGATTTTAAAACCACTTACTTCAAATGTGCTCAGATGTTGGGCATAACCCTAACAGGTTAAATCAGCAGTTACAAATACCAAACATTTTAATTCTGGGAAAATTTTCTCCAAGAGTACTGCAATAAACATAAACACTCAGACTACTATATTAACTTTGTAAGCCCTAATGAATGAAAAGCTGTGTCTTAGTCATAGAAAAGCTTTTCAGAAGATAAACACCAAATGATTAACAATTATTAGTTTCGTAGAGAAGCAGACTCTTTTAGAGGAGAAGGGGAACAATATTCACGTCCTGTGCATCTCTGTATTGTGTTTAATTGTCTTACATCAAGTATGCACCCATCCCTGTGTCATGGGTATACTTGATCTCATTTCTAGAGCTGTGCTGTCCAACACTGGCCAGACGTGGCTACTGAGCCCTGTAATGGGTTAGTCTAAATGGAGATGTGCTATGACTAGGAAATACACAGTGGAAAAAGAACGCAAAGTAGCTCACTTGTTTCTATTAATACATTATGAAATAATAACATTTTGCATATACTGAATTAAATAAAATAGATTTTACCTATTACTTTCTAAAATATGACTATTAGAAAATTAAACATTACATATGCAGCTCATATTATATTTCTGTTGGACAGCACTGTCATTGATGCTAATATTTTAGCTTCAAATAAACCCAGAAAGGACTCCGAATTCTGAACCATATGCATAGCCAGACTCAAAATCACCTGAAATACAAAGGCATTCAACATACAAGCCTGAGAGTGCTAGAAACTTATGGCAGTGGACTATGAGAGCCACAAACCAAGCTGCTCTCCACTGTCAGACATCTGCAGTAACTATCATCATCATCAACTCAGTTCAACTTGGCTCTTCATGGATTTAGAGAAGATTTCAGTACCTTATCGTGTTGTGTTTCTTCTAACTGCTTTTTTGCACTTTCAACTTCTCTTAAAAGAGAGTTCTGAAAAAAGACAGATAGTCCTTTAGTGTTTCTTTAAAATGTCCCATTTAAATATAGCATGGCTGTATTCGTTTAAAAAAAAAAAGGACCACACAAAGGGAACGGAGTAAAAGAGCACACCAGCAAGCACTGCTGTAGTCCCAGGGTTAGACCGTGAGGCGGCGACACCTTCTCTTATATCTCTTACTAATATATCTACTCCTCACCAACTGAACTTCCTAAAGGTAGGTATGTCAAGTTCATGGTGCAAGTTCATTTTAATCAGTTAAACTGGCTTATACTAACTTTTAGGCTTTACAATTTCTTGGTCACTTGGGAAACCTGAATTTAAGTTTCAAATGCATAATTAAAATCAAAGATAAAAACACTGCTCCATTAAGGCTGACCCACTGATCAAGGAGGTGAGTGGGATAATGACTCTGTATGGTCTCTGGAAATGCCCTCCATGGTCAGCACCGTGTAAATAAACGTGTCATGCAATGAGCGGGAATCATTAGTCTCTCAGATGAGCAGACCCCAATCCTAACAACCAATCTCAGGGCAGTTTCTGAGTCCCATCGCTAGGGACACTGCACAGTCAGGACAGGCTTTATCAAACGGGAATCCAGCTGCTGCCCATTAGAGCTTCTCCGACACAGATTCTAGGATATCCCTTCGCTCTGGTGACAGCTAACATGTTTCCATGATGACAGTACTCAGAGTCCAGGCTTAAACTTTTTCCAAATCAAATGAAAAAGAACGAAGGTAGAGGTTGGAATATTTATTTGGTTTCAGCTGACTGAACCCTTTCTAGTACACGATACAACCTAAGTGACCTATTTATAAATGAGACAGAAATTAACTTTTTTTTTTTTTTTTTGAAACAGGATCTTGCTCTGTCACACAGGCTGAATGAAGTACAGTGGCGCAATCTTGGCTCACTACAACCTCCACCTCCTGGGTTCAAGCGATTTTCATGCCTTAGCTTCTCAAGTAGCTGGGACTACAGGCGGGTGCCCCCAGGCCTGGCTAATTTTTATATTTTTAGTAGAGATGGCGTTTGGCCATGTTGGCCAGGCTGGTCTTGAACTCCTGGCTGAAGTGATCTGCCTGCCTCAGCCTCCCAAAGTGCTGGGATTACAGACGTGAGCCACCACGCCCAGCCAGAAATTAACTTCCAATGCATGAATAATAAAGGGGTGAGGGTTGGGCCCAAAAAATGATCCTAGTGCAGGGGCTGGCAAACTAGAACCTGACGGCCAAAACCAGCCCACTGCTTGTTTCTACAAATGAATTTTATTGGAACATAGCCAGACTCATTCATTTACACGTTATTTATGGCTGCTTTTGTGCTAATGACTTGATTGGCATAAAATTATTTAATTACTCATAACTACTAAAAGCCTAAAATATTTACAATCTGGCCCTTTATAAAAACCACTTACCTACTCTCATTCTAGAGAATAAGAATGATAAACAATTTCCCATACACACAAATGGGGCATGGACTTAGCAAACAATAAGTTAATTCAGTGACTGGATAACTGTGCATACCTTTTCCACTTTAAAGAATAATTCCCATTTTCGGTAACAGCTGCTAACCACTGTTACACACGCCTGCTCAGGGGCAGATGAGCAATCTTTTGGCAGAGGGTGGGAAAGCTCCAGCATGTCCGTGTTATCTAACTTACCTTATCTTCCAAAGCAGCCATTCTCTCTTTAAGATGAAGTTGAAGCCTCTCATTAGATTCTGAAAGCAGCTTGTCAACAGTGTCTGATAAACGTTTATTATGTTCTTCGTTCATTTTTTCTCTTTGCCTTGCCTAAAGCAGGAGAAACAAAGTCTTATAAACCTCACGTAAATCCTCGATCATTATTTTAAAAGCACAAGGACCAACAGGGTGAGCCCCATGTGTGCCCTCCCCTCCCCCAGTTGCTCCCCACACTGCCATCTTGAGTGGACTTTTGCATGGTGACCAGAACCAACTCATGGACACAGGGAGCACGGGACAAGTCTTGGAAAGGTCATTAACTAGAAGGTCCCACTGCTCCTGCCACAGGACTCCTCAGGAATGTCACTAGTTGTTAACTGTCAGAGGGACTTAAGGAGCAGATTTATAGCAGATATTTAGAGGATGAGCCTGTCTCCACGCTGGTAGAGGAATTTCCCCTTGTGTAACTAAAAGCTTGGGTCTGGATTTGGGGAGGAAGGGTGAACTTAATTTACAAAGCAAAAAAGTTAAAAAGTTTGTTTTGGAAAAAAAAATTGTGCTAGAGAGACCTTCATATTTTTTCTTTATATCTTTATGTTGCTTAAATTTCTCGTAATGGAAATTTACATTCAAAAATTATAAATAATTACCTTAAGTAATTTTAATATGTAGTAACAAAACTGACATGTCTATTATTTTATAAAACCATAATCAAATTCATGGTTTAAAACCTTTGTTTCTCAAATGACAGGCAGAAAGGGACAGGAAGTGTCAGTAGGTGGCACCTGTCCAGGTGGCACCTCCATGCCCTCATCGCCCAAGTGCCCTTGCAGTGCTCAGGGGGCTCCTCCCAGGCAGGAGGCAATGGCACGGGGTTACGACGTGCACCCGAGTCATGCTGCCCAGGCAGGAGGAGACAGCCATGAGACCGCGCCATCAGCAGTGCATTCGAACCCCGTGCGCCCAATTTCTGCACTGGGAAAACATGGGTAGTGACCTCTCCTTTTCTCATAAGGTCTAACATGTAGCAACTATCATTACCTGAAAGGGTCCAGCACATCATGTGCCATACGGAGTATCGCATACTTCCTCTTGGGAAAGAAACAATATCCTTCTTTGTGCTTATTTTCCGTCAGCATTTAAATAATTTTTAAAGAACACAGCTTAAAGTTCACTGTTGTGTCTGTGAGCATGAGTGTGCATTTTGGAAGGGGAGGTGGGGACTGCCTAAAATGCACCCTCTCACTGGGAGTCGGAATCGTCGTTTCCCAGAAGCTCCTTTGATTCTCTGCAGGGCATGGCCAAGAATACAGATTTCTGGTGAAAACAAAATCTAGTAGCCTTAAATTAATGTTATAAAGTGGGCTGATGTGACGGTGCAAGAGTTCTAAAATTAGACGCTGCATGCTTCCTTTCTCCACCTACTTGTTAAAGAGAAATCTACCCCAAACCCCAGGCCTGGTACCAGCTGGCCCTGGGACTGCTCTTGCTATATCTTTTTCCTGGATGTTCCATATTGACATCCACCCAACTCTTTCAGGAAAACAATCTTAGGATTCAATGGACAGAAGTCTCCACTGCCACACTCCTTCCTAGTGCTTTTTATTGTAGCTCAATTACGGTGTTGCTCTTGCTTAGAAACATTCATTCCAACACGCCATTATGTTTGGAGTATTTTAACCTGGGACAGAGGTCAGGCCTCTGACCTGCATGTGGGAATTCAGTGCCATATCCTAGAAAAGTGGACTAGTCATTCAGGACAATGGACCTGCCTCTACATTTGCAGGGGGTAGGGGGGCCACGCCGGTACCACAGCTACCTAGAACAGTTCCCCTGATAGGCCGCTAGACAAGCAAGAAGCATTTTTGGACACCTGAAGTACTGCCTAGGATCTCAAATTTCTTCCGCAGCTCCCAATACTGACTGAAAACAACTACTGTGTGGGATGTACGCATTAGCAGGCGACTCACAGATGAGGGTGCAAAACAAATGCACGCGACCAGAACTGAGCTGGAGGACCAACATCTCAGTCAGGGGTGGGAGGCCCTGAGCTCCCCACAGCCGAGCAATGACCTTGCAGCACCCACTCAGCGCCCCCACCCTCAGGGCTGCATGCTCACCCGCTGCAGTTCTTGATTCTTCTCCTCCAACTGTGCTTCCATCTGTCGTAACCTTTCTTCAATGTTGCCGTGTCTCTCTTCAGCCTGTCAGCAGAAACAGCGTACGCTGACGTCATCCTTACACTTCATTAACGACATGCTGCATACCACTGCAGTGGCAACAGGCACAACATGCTCTGCGTGGGCTGCTCCGCCATACTAAATGGAAAGCATGTACTCATCCATCAACACAGCCTACGGGGCTTCACGTGCTGGGCCATGAGGTGGCTAGCCCTCTTGTGTTGGTGATTCTGAAGCATGGCTGCTGCTGGCGACTGACTGGGTGTTTTCCCCCCAACCCCTATGCCCAATCTCAATGGAGTCGTGATTCTCCCATCCTTGGACTGCTTCTGGTTAGTAAGCATGGAAAGCAGAAAGCAGCGGCAAGCACAAGCAAGGAGCAGTGCACCCATTCTACCTTCCTAAGCTTGGAAGTAAGTTCCAACAGTTTAGCTTCCTTAGCAGCAGAGCTCCCAGAAGACAAAAGGTCAGACTACAAAGCCGACAAGGGACAGGAAAGATAACAGGGGAGAAAAGAAATCGAGACTTTAAAAGCAGATCATGGAGTGGGAGGATAGGTTCTTACAGCTGTTAGCAACAAACTTGCTAGAAGGAACAGGTGTGTGAGCCCTAAAACCATCTGAATGGTCCAGAAGGATGCCCTCCCCAGCAGCTTGAAAAGCTTGAGCAAGAAGACTCAGGACGACAGACAGGGGCCTCAGCTCCTGCTGCTCGCCTGCCTGGCACTGCAGTGCTGGGCTCCCCACGCCCCAGAGGCTGGGTTTGTGCCCGGTGATGCGCTCCCTGGGTACTCGCCGATCCCAGGACCTATGACAGCATTTGCCTCTTTAGCTGCTTCCCTCATGAATGGGGAGAACTTGGAGGGACTGTGTCTTGCACATGCCTAGTCAACAGTTGTTGGACAAATGAATAAATATTACTTAAAAACACATTTTTAAGTAATTTCAAAATAATAAATATTACTTAAAAATACATTTTTAAGTAATTTCAAAATAATAAAATTACTTAAAAATGTGTTTATGAAGAATTTATCTTGATGGTGTTTTTAAAAGAACGGCATCTTCCTATTTCTGAGAAAAACTACCCTTCTTTTACAGAGACTTCTATCCTATGCTTAAGCTGGTGACCAAAACAATTCTAAGAAGCAGTAACTCTCAGATCACACATGCCGTGGACAAATAGTATACAGCTCACAAAACCAAGGTAGACTTCGGGATAAAAGGATCATGTCTGGCATTTACAAAGTGTTCCAATCTCAGATGAAAGAGCACTCAAACCAAATCCGTGCTCTTCCACGGATTTAGGTGCTGATGTAATAAGAACAGTGACAAACAAGGTACACAGGCAAGGCACAGTCACAGGCCTGGCAGCCGAACCAGAATGAAGCTCATGGCACTACCTTGGAAAGCGCTGCCACCCTCTGGGCCAGCTCCGCCTCCACCTCCGGGAGCGTCTCTGCCTTCCTCAGTGTCTGTTGCAGCTTTTGCTCTGCCAATTCCAAGCGCTCCTGTAACTGGCGGTTTTTATCTTCAGTCTATAAAATGAGAGCAAAGCATCAAAATGCAACAAATCTTCTAGCTGATCAGTTTTTAACAGATTGAAACAAACTGAAATGCAGATACAGACTAAGAGAGTCATGATGGAAGAGCTACAGTGATGGGAGTTGCTTCTGGGTCAGGTTTTTGTTTTTGTTTTTGTTTTTGTTTTTGTTTTTGAGACATAGTCTCGCTTTGTCACCCAGGCTGGAGTGCAGTGGCACAATCTTGGCTCACTGCAACCTCCACCTCCTGAGTTCAAGCAATTCTCCTGCCTCAGCCTCCTGAGTAGCTGCAATTACAGGCATGTGCCACCAGGTCTGGCTAATTTTTGTATTTTTAGTAGAGACAGGACTTCGGCATGTTGGCCAGGCTGGTCTTGAACTCCTAACCTCAAGTGATCCACCCGCCTCAGCCTCCCAAAGTGGTGGGATTACAGGTGTGCGCCACTGTGCCCGGCCTGGGTAAGGTTTTCTTGCTGCCAGGAGTACATGCCCACTTTCCTGGTCTTGGTTTCAATGTGCAAAACACCTCTTGTCAAAGTGTTTGCTTTTCCTAAATAACTTTTAAGAAGCTTTTTTTTTGTTTGTTTAAAGACAGAGTCTTGCTCTGTCACCCAGGCTGGAATACAGTGATACTCGTAATTACAAGAATAAGTATGGTTTACGAAACCACAGGAGACCCAATTTCTTACTACAGACTTCACTGCCTTTTTTTTTTTTTTGAGACGGAGTCTAGCTGTGTCACCCAGGCTGGAGTGCAGTGGCACAATCTCGGCTCACTGCAACCTCCGCCTCTTGGGTTCAAGCGATTCTCCTGCCTCAGCCTCCTGAGTAGCAGCTGGGATTACAGATGCGCGCCACCAAGCCCAGCTAATTTTTGTATTTTTAGTAGAGACGCAGTTTCACCATGTTGGTCAGGCTGGTCTCAAATGCCTGACCTCATGATCCACCTGCCTCGGCCTCCCAAAGTGCTGGGATTACAGGTGTGAGCCACCGCGCCTGGCCGCATTTTTTATTTTAGAGACGGGGTCTCGTTCTGTGGCCCAGGCTGGAGTCCAGTGGCACAATCATAGCACAATGAAGCCTTGAACTCCAGGGCTCAAGTCATCCTCCCTCCTTAGCCTCCTGAGTAGCTAGGGCTAAAGGCACATGCCACCATGCCCGGCTAATTTATTAATTTTCTGTAGAGACAGGCTGTTCTCACATTCCTGGGCTCAAGCGATCTTCCCACCTCAGCCTCCCGAAGTGTTAGAATGACAGGCATGAGCCACCGCATCCGACCAAGACTTCATTTGTCATACTATTCATGTATCATAGTGCTCCCACTTAGTTACAAATAGCCAATTGCCTTGAAGTTCTTTGCCACTCTCTGCTCCTTTGGTAAAAATGCTAACAAGCAATAGATTAACTTTCAATTACAACAAAAGAAAAAACTGAGGACAAAATTGGTTAAATCAAATCCTACGTAATCAAAACCTCTAAACTGAAGGAACTCCCACATGTCTTGAACATAATATTCTAAGGTCATAAAAACTTGATATTTGGACTTGATTTCCAACATGAAAGTGAGAGAAAAAGGGTCTTTAACTTCATTAATAATTAACTAAAGCCAGACAAAGGTCGATAAAATCCATTACCTGTCGATGCATAGAATCTTTATTTGCAATTTCATTTTCAAGTTTATCATTGAGGTCATGCACAGATGTGGCTTCACGCTGTGCAGCGAGGTAGCGTTTTTCAAGAGTAGTGATTCTCTCTTCCATATCTTCCTTTTGGGCCATGGCCTAAATTAGGTATTTCAGAGGGGACAAAAAAGTAGGTAATTAACGATTACACATTAAGATACTTAAGAGAGAAAAAAACTGAAGTAAATCCCAAATTTCCAATCAAATTAAAAATTAGCATCCTCAGGCCAGATACAGCAGCTCACTCCTATAATCACAGCACTTTGGGAGGCTAAGGCGGGAGGATGGCTTCAGGCAAGGAGTTCAAGACCTTGTCTCTACAAAAATATTTTATTTTGTTTTTTGAGTCAGAGTCTCCCTCTATCACCTAGGATGGAATGCTGTGGTGCAATCAAGGCTCACCACAGCCTTGACTTCCCAGGCTCAAGGGATCCTTCCACCTCAATCTTCCCAGTAGCTGGGACTACAAGCGCACACTCCTATATCCAACTAATTTTTAATTTTTTGTAGAAATAGAGGTCTTACTATATCGCCCAGGCTGGTCTTGAGTTTCCTGGGCTCAAGAGATCCTCCTTGGCCTTCCTTTGGCCTCCCAAAGTGTTAGGATTACAGGCGTGAGCCAGTGTCCCTGGCCAAAAACATTTTAAAGAAACAAAAATTAGCCACGCATGGTGGCACGCCCCTGTAGTCCCAGGTACTTGGGAGTCTGAGACAGGAGGATTGCTCGAGTCCAGCAGTTCAAGGCTGCAGTGAGCTATGATGGCGCCACTGCACTCCAGCCTGGGTAACAGAGAGAGATCCTGTCTCAAAAATAAATAAATAAATAATAATGTCCTCAAAATTAAATTGATGAAGATGTCAATTTTCTCAAATGTGAATGAAAATGTAACTACCTCAAATACCATAAATATTCACCTATACGATTAACAAAGACTTGTCTCTCTTAATACTATGTCTGGCCACTCAGTTGACCAAGCTTTCCTGTTTCTACATAATATTATAAAAATATATACACTCAAATATCTAAATATTTTTCAAGGAGGTGAAAGTGTCCTCAAAGAAGACGCAGTCTACGTCTGCCTCACGCTACAAATGGTCTCACACAGGACAGGGTGCGGCCTCTCTCAGTGGACACAGTAGTGAGATACAAGTCTCACTTTCTAGGATAAGGGTTGGATGAACTCTCATACAATTACAAGACTCAAGCATATTGACAAATGGAAACAGAAGTACCAGTTTAATTTAATTGGATGCAACTACCTGAAGTCTACAAGATGATTACTATACAGTTTCAAACACTTAAGGCTAGGACCAGAACTTTTTGCTTGAGAAATACCTGTCCTCCACCCCCAGAATTCACTATTTTCAAGTTGTTCCCTATTTATAAAATGACTAAAGTTAGCAAAGTCTAAATATTACAAGTGATAGGGGAAAAAAGCTCAACATCACCGATTAGACAAATGCCAATCAAAACCACAATGAGACAGCATCTCACACCAGTCAGAATGGCTATTGTGGAAAAGTCAATCAGTAACAGATGCTGGTGAGGTTGTGGAGAAAAAGGAATGTTTTCCTGCTCTTGGTGGGAGGGTAAATTAGTTCAACCATCGTGGAAGACAGTGTGGAGATTCCTCAAAGACCTAAAGATGGAAATACCAACCCAGAAATCCCATTACGGGGTATATACCCAAAGGAATATAAATCGTTGTATTATAAAGACACACGCACACGTATGTTCACTGCAGCACTATTCACAACAGCAAAGACAAGGAATCAACCTAAATGCCCATCAATGATAGACTCCATAAAGAAAATGTGGTACGTATACACCATGGAATACTATGCAGCCATAAAACAGAATGAGATCATGTCCTTTGCAGAGACATGGATGGAGCTGGCGGCCATTATCTTTAGCAAACACAGAAACAGAAAAACAAAATACCTCATGTTCTCACTTATAAGTGGGAGCTAACTGATGAGAACACAGGGACAGACAGAGGGGAACAACACACACTGGGGCCTATCAAAGGGTGGAGGGTGGAGGATAGGAGGAAGAAGAGGATCAGGAAAAATAACTAGGCTTGGTACCTGGGTGATGAAATAATTTGTAAAACAAACCGCCAGGACACAAGTTTACTTATGTAACAGACCTACACGTGTACCCCAAACTTAAAAGTTAAAATAAAAAATTAAAAAATAAAAGTGATAGGTCTTAAAAGAATTTCAAAATTCTCTGCATATTAATCTCTGCCACATAATCTCCTGCTGTAGCCAAAGAATAGAACCTTAGGTGACATACTACATGCAAATGTTCTTCCTGTGGTGAATTCCTACATGAAATTACTCAACGTCAAACTACCAAACTGAAAAGCAGACATTCAACGGTTGAGGCGCCTGACAAGGGACAAAGCGCAGGTTAGAAAGTGACAGGAAGGGCACCTGAGAAAGCACTCAGCCTCACTGTTTCATGATCAAATAGTTTCTCTCTTTTTTTTTTTTGAGACGGAGTCTCGCTCTGCCGCCCAGGCTGGAGTGCAGTGTCCCGATCTCGGCTTACTGAAAGCTCTGCCTCCTGGGCTCACGCCATTCTCCTGCCTCAGCCTCCCGAGTAGCTGGGACTACAGGCGCCCGCCACCACGCCTGGCTAATTTTTTTGTATTTTTTAGTAGAGACGGGGTTTCACCGTGTTAGCCAGGATGGTCTCGATCTCCTGACCTCGTGATCCGCCCGCCTAAGCCTCCCAAAGTGCTGGGATTACAGGCGTGAGCCACCACGCCCGGCATTCATGATCAAATAGTTTCTCACAGTTATAATGGCAGAAATATTTGTCAGCAATGAGTATATTGTGACATATTTTTGCTATACGATCCTGATGACCCATGTAGAAGCAAATTCCACTCTTGATTGTTTGACCATTAATATTCAACGCCACAAATTCCTTGAAGGAGCAGGTCAGAAAATGAGAAGACCGCCAGCAACGCCCCCTCCCACAGTTAAGAGACTATACTCACATTGCCCTACGTGAGCTAGCACAGCCAGTATCAATATCTGCTTGCTAAGTATGTGTGCAACAGAAGGCAATCTGAACATAAGAACAAATTAAGACAGCCTAGAAATTGCACAGATGAAGAATCTACAAACAAGGACATTAAAGAATATTAAAGCAGCACAGGTAGGAGAGGCCAGTGTGGCGTCCACTTCATGGCCATGTCAGTCAGTGGGACTAGTTCTCTACTTTGAAGAGCTCAGGGACAGGAGATTTCACAACAAAAATGGGGAGGTAGCTTATGGCAGTTTCACAGCACTCTCTCTTTTTCAATATAACTTATACAATAATCCAAAGGTTGAAAGTAATTGGGAGAGTAAGAGACAAACAGAGAAAAAAAATCATTTAACTAAAACGTCCCAAACATACAACTTCATGACAAGACTGTAGTTTTTGTTATTGCTCACTTCACGGACATCTCGTTGCAATTTTGTGTTCATTTCTTCAGATTTGATGAGATCTTTTCTAGCCGTGTCCAGATCCTCTTCCAGTTCTGTCACATGACTGGAAAGGGAAGCCAGGCGTTCTTTCATTTGGCTCTGTTCCCTTGACTGCTTACTTATGATTTCTTGGAGCTCAATTACTTTAGCAAGGTCTTCCTCGTGGCTTAAAGAACCATCAGAAGATCTCTGATAGGGGGAAAAAAAAATCCTTAAATACCCTTGTTTGGTGAGCTATAAAATAAAAATACTTCCAGGAAATAGCTAAAATCAAAACTGACTTATGCAATCTGTTGGATTACACAACTTTCATGACCACTTCAGCTCTAAGCCGGTACTTTAGCAACTGTTTTCCACATAACCCGACACATACTGTGAACAAATGAAATCAAACAGAATAAAGACAAAGCCTACAGACTTGCCTTTCCACTCGTGCTTGGTGTATTTTCTTGTTCATGGTTTATGTCCAGCACTCCATCTGTTAGAGTTTTTTTCTGATTATTCTGTTCTTTAAGAATCATTAGCTGAAAGCAAAAAATTGAATATGAGTGTAAAATACCTTACATAAGAGAAATAAGTAAAGATAGCAAAACTCCTTTTGGAAAAACACAACTAAAAACTGCTTAACATAGTATAAAAGAGAAAGCATATGGCAATGCTACCCAATCCGAAAATAACCAGATCATTGAAGATGGAATTTATTATCCACTGGCCAGACGAGTCCTTAGGTAACCATCATTTTGTAGTCCTTAAAATGACTCAGATAGGCTGGTCCTCAATTGGGAAGATAAGTAACATGTGATATGTACAACTACAGTCCTTATACTTCTTTTACTTTTTTTTTTTTTTTTTGGAGACAGAGTCTTGCTCTGTCACCCAGGCTGGAGTGCAATGGTGCAATCTCAGCTCATTGCAACCTCCACCTCCTGGGCTCAAGCAATTCTCATGTCTCAGCCTCCCGAGCAGCTGGGACTAAAGGAACATGCCACAACTCCTGGCTAATTTTTGTATTTTTAGTAGAAATGGGGTTTCACCATGTTGGTCAGGCTGGTCTTGGAACTCCTGACCTCAGGTGATCCGCCCGCCTCGGTCTCCCAAAGTGCTGGGATGACAGGTGTGAGCCACCACGTCTGGCCTTATGCTGCTTTTAATAATTAAAGGATAAAAATAACCCCCCCCCAATTCAACTCATGATGAAGTCTCAAGCTTACCTCTTTGTGTGTGGCACCTAATTCCTCTTCTAACAAACTACATCTTTCAAGTGCTACTCGTAATCGCTCTCTCACCTGAAAATAAAAGGGGTTGAGTTTGTGTGTGTGTGTGTATACTGTTTATTTTATTCTTAATATATAGTTAAGTGTAATATATACACTTAATGTATATATTAGTGTAATATAACATAATAAAATACCATTAATGTCTGTCATTGATCTTACTGTCAAGAAAACTTGTTAATGGCTCTAAATTAAGTTTCAGAAAAATAAATCTTCCCCCGAAATATCAGGTTGTTGCAAAAGTAATTGCAGGTTTTGCCCACAATTACTTTTGCAACAACCTAATACTACCCAATTTGTAACAGCAAATCAATATACATTAGTAATTTTAAGACATTTAAGCCAATTAGTACTTTTTAAACCTACAAAACCCTGTCTTCTTAGAGAAGTTATTTCCAAGAATTCAAGAAGCTTCAAAAAACAAAAGTTACACCAACACTTGTGAAGCTGGCCTAATACACAGCATGTGCACAAACCAAGACTTATGTGGCTGATGGCACCTTTTCATCCAGAGCTTTGTGGTGTTCAAATAAGGACTTCAGTGCTTTCAGCACTTCCACTTCGCTGGACACGCCTGCTGGAGACTGCGCTTGTCTCTTCACCACGGTCATCCTAAGAGACCGCTCATGCCTGGAGACAAGGCATTCCAAATGCTCTAACAGCAGCTGAAATAAAAGGCCAAAATAAAGACTTGTTAAACAGCATTTTTAATTTCATGATTGAATCTGGGGCAAATAACTCCTTTACAGTCTCATACTAAAATGAAGTCCCTTCAATTCCGCAGAAAAACAAATTCCTCTCAATTGTATTAAAATATCATAAATTCTCATCACAAATTTCAAGCCATTAATGTGTGATCATGCTGACTAATCACAGTCTGCTCAGTGGGAAAAGGTATGAAAAGTATTTCAGGCCAGACAGAGTGGGTCGTCCTTTCGTTTTGACACACCGCCCCTCCTCCTGACAGTGGCTCCAGGGGCAGGCAGTGAACAGAAAGGTCACACTCACCCTGGTGTTATTCCTTTCTGCTTTCAGTTCAGCAATTTCTTCTTCCCTTTCAAGGAGCTGTTCCCTGCATACATTGAGTTCTTTAGTAAGTGCTGCGAACTCCTAGAAAATCACAAAACAAAATTAAATAAATAAGAAAGACCCCCTAAAGAAAGCCTTTCATCAAGGCTCCACAGTCTTCACACAAAGGCAACCTCATTACAAGTTATGGGGAAGGGATCTCAGTGATCCTCCAGAGAAAGAGGGCATCAATGGACCACACAGATTCCCTAACAAATCACAACACTGACAGACCATCTGACTTCCCTCTATCCCTGCACCCTGGGACAAGGACAGCAGGGAAAGAAGGGGAATCCAAGTCCACCTTCTCAGCAGCCAGAGAAGTCCAAAACATTTTCCTGAACAGGATCCTGACATGAACTGAATGAAGACATTTTAAATGACTCACAGACATGTGATCTAGAGTTGCTGGAGAGAGAGGAAAGATGGCCTAGAAGGCCACCACCCCTGTCCTAGCCTCCTTTTCTTCCTTTTTCTTTCTGAGACAGGGTCTCATTGTGTCACCCAGGCTAGAGTGCAATGGTGTGACCATGGCTCACTGCAGTTTTGACCTCCAGAGCTCAAGTGACCCTCCCAAGTAGCTGAGACCACAGGCTTGAGCCACCGTGCCCAGCCTCTCTTCTAAAGTAATATTTCTTCTGCAAGAATCCCTACTGTGGGTAATCAACTTCTAGCATGACAGCACAAGAAGCTCCACTGACCTGCTTGCTCCCAAGGAAAACAGGTGAACATTGTAAGAAAACAACTGTTCTGAGACTCTGGAGATCGTTCTAAGGGTTCACAGCAAACAACTGAAAATTCAGTAAGAAAGGCCAGAGTCTGTTGTATTTGAACCAAGACTGCTCCCTGCCTCCCCTTTCCAGGTCAGTGAGGCAGCGACTCTGTTCCAGACTGCTGCAGCTGATAATGTAGTGCCCTCTCCCCCAGTTCCACCCCACCCCAGCTACGTGGTGCTGATGCTGCATCCTGGCTAGTGGAGTCATGGGCAAAGTGGGCCTTCCTACCTCTGTCCAGCCTCCATTCTGGAATGGAGGCTCAACTTTGAGTGTGGCAGGCTGAGAATACTGGGGGTCCTGATCAGCTGTGCCCTGGCTCTGTAAGACGGTAGCTGCAGGGCTGGAGTGACAAGCTGAGAGGGCCCTGGCTGCCGCCATAAGACCAGGGGCGTCATTCAGGGAGAAACGAGTTTGGTGACATTTAAACCTCTTTAAATGTTAGGGCACTAACATTTAAACCCTGGGCACTCTCTTTAAACCTAGGAGCAGTGGAGGTCCTAGTGAAGGCAACTGGAGGTGTGGGTTTAATGGAGGCACAGCCTGGACTGCGGCTGGCTAGTCAGCAGGGAGAGCTGGAGAATTCTTGCTGCAGGAGCCCTCCAGAGTAGGAACAAATCTCCTAAAATGACTTCAGAAACTGTTTCTTAGAATTAGCCACAATTTCACTGAATTGGTTTCTAATTATCCCAGGGCACTGCTGAAGACAACAGAAACATATGTGGGGCTCAGAACTGAGTGTGGTCAGAGAGAGTGGAAGACAGCAGCAGGGTGACTGTGGACACATCCAAAGCTGCGCCTGGCTGGGGAGTAACAGCAGAGGCTGAACACAGCGGGGGTGGGGAGGGGACACAAGCACATTCCACTACATGAATCTAGCATTCACTGAACTGCTTAAGCTGGCAAGTTTTATCTTAGTATATTTTATTGCAATTAAATATATATAGACATTATAAACATATTATACAGTGAGTTTTGGAGACAAGGCTGCTCCTGAGACCATAAAATTAGCTAAAGAACATGAATAGCTCTTCAATTCAGTATTTCAGTGCATACTTGCAAACACAAAGAAATGCCAACAATACTAATGAAGATCACCCAAATGTGGCTTAAAACCTGGTAAGGATCTGTAAGTGCTGAAACCTCTTCAGAGATCGAACGCAGCATTCAGAAGCGGGCTCCTGGGCTGGGCAGCGTGCGGGAGGAGGGTAGGGAGAGGCCGCCAAGTAGACCGGTCTTCTGTCCATGTCCTCCCACCAAGTTTGTTTTCCTTCCTAAGTTTCAGAGATTTCTTATGTGCCAATATTAATCATATCAAATACCGATTTACATCTCTGATAATTAACTCTAGCTGACTGTCAGATCATCTAATGGCTAACTTTAACGAAACACTGTCATCTCATGAAGGGGTTCGTACATGAGGAAAGATTATTTCTCTTGCAGGCAAAAAGCAAACAGACTCAAACTAGCTTCAGTTAAAAAGCCATTATTAGGCCAGGCATGGTGGCTCACACCTGTAATCCCAACAGTTTGGGAGGCCGAGGCAGGCAGATCACCTGAGGTCGGGAGTTCGAGTCCAGCCTGACCAACATGGAGAAACACCATCTCTACTAAAAATACAAAATTAGCTGGACATGGTGGTGCATGGTGGTGCATGCCTGTAATCCCAGCTACTCAGGACGCTGAGACAGGAGAATCGCTTGAACCCGGGAGGTGGAGGTTCCGGTGGGCCGAGATTGCACCACTGCATTCCAGCCTGGGCAACAAGAGCGAAACTCCATCTCAAAAAATAATAATTAATAAATAGCCATAATATGGCACATAACTGTCAAGTCAAAGTACAGAGTCGGCTACAGGCCTGCCTGAATTCAGGACCTTGAATTTTATCATTGTGCCCCTCCATCTTGTCCCTGTCATCTGGGTCAATTTTGTGAAGTAACTGCCAATCCACTAATTTTGTCTTTGACTATGTCTGGTCCAGAGTCTATCATCCTGGCTAATATCCTTTTCATTTACTAGATTTCAAGTTCTTCTTCCTTTTTCTTTTTCTTTTTTGGGTCATATCTTCTTACTCTTGTTTCCTTTTGGGCAATTTCTTGTTTGTTTTCATGGATGCTAATTTATCTTTTTAAGCATCTTAAACATACTTATTTTGACAGTTTTTGCCAGACTGTCCTTAAATTTCCGATGCAGTAAATGCACAGCTCTGTAAGGCATCAGCTCTGTGAGGATGTGTATTAGAGGTCTTTGAGCATAGAGGAATTGGGGTCTCGGGCTCATCGCGACAGAAGGTTTTCTGTTGCTGGTGCTCTCCTCCCTGTCTAGTGGCTCAGTCCATTCAGGCTGCTGTAACTAACTCCCATTACCTTTTAAACAACAGAAATTCATTCTTCACAGTTCTCGAGGCTGGAAGTTCAGAAGCAAGACATCAGCAGATTTGGTGTCTGGTGAGGGCCCAACTGCCAGCTTCTATGTCCTCACATGATGGAAGGGACCAGGGATCTCTATGGGGTCTCTTCTAAGCACATTATTCCATTCACAAGGAGTCCACCCTCATGACCTAATCCCCTCCCAAGGGCTCTACCTTCTAATACAGTGAAACCAGGGAGTGGGATTTGAGCATATGACTTTGGCAGAGCAGGGAACACAAAAGTATTCAGCCCATAGCACTAGTGTTCTGTGGTTGTTGCCCTCCAAGCCTTCCAAGGCCTCCGTCCAGAACTAGGTTTTCCATGGTGATGCAGGATTCTGTTGCGTGGTTATGTCACCAACAGTGCAGACCCTGGTAGAGAACCATGGAATAGCATGGCTCATCCCAGGCCTTGCATTCTACCTCCCTAGGACCACAACTGCCAGTAGAGCCCCAATCTGTATAGCAGAGAATTGCCTTAGATGGGGAAACCTTATCTAACTCCAGCTCCAAAAACCATCTAAGGCCAGGCATGGTGGCTCTTGCCTGTAATCTCAGCACTTTGGGAGGCCAAGGTTGGAGGACTGCTTGAGCCCAGGAGTTCAAGACCAGCTTGGGCAACATAGTGAGACCCCATCTCTACAAAACATAAAAAATTAGCCGGGCATGGTGGCACACACCATGCGTAGACCCAGTAGCATAGACCCGGCTACTCAGGAAGCTGAGACAGGAGGACTGCTTGAGCCCAGCAGGTTGAGCCGTGATCACACCACTGCACTCCAGGCCGGGTGACGAGAGCGTCTCAAAAAAAAAAAAAAAAAAAAGTAGCTACATCTAGTTCTAACTCCACTGAACACTTTAGTCCCTGTTACCCTTACCCCTGTAAGAACCCACTTTCCTACTGACACTGCCTGCTTGGAGCCTGCGGCTCAGTGGCCAGTGAAATCCAGTCAATTCAGGCTTACCATGCTAGGTTTCTAGTCTGTTTGTGTACTGAAGGGTATTTCTCTTGCTTGGTGGGCTGGCTATGCTTTTTGGTTTGTTTCTCTACTTAAATTGTACCTTTTCACTGTTGTGTTTGGAGGGGAGATGCATCAAAGCACAAGTGAGTGCTTCCACCTCGATCGGACGTTACAGTTCTTTCAAGAAATAGTGCATATCTCGTCTATGCTGGCCGCTGCAGCAACACAGAAACAGGGCCTGTCCACTCCTCAGGATGCTTTAAAGAACAGACAGACGAGCTGGCAGGAACCTCAGAGCAGTACGTGCTCTGGGTGAGAGGTGACCAGGATACTGCGGGAGCTGAGTTGAAGCCATCCATGATGGGAAGTGGGAGTGCTTCTCGGAAGGTTTGCTGAAGGACACAGCACTTGAATTGAGCTGAATTCTGAACATGCTGTATAGCCAGTGAGAGCCTCTTTCACAAAAGCAGAAGGTATCTGATAAGCAAGGGCTTCAGCAGGGCTGGGGCATGGGCAGCGTGTATGGAGGAAGCCGGTGAGGTCATAAGTGGGCAGCCATTCAGAGAACAACAGCACACAGCATGAAACCTGGATTTAATGTTGAAGGCTATAGAAATCACCTTATCTACAGGCTTTGAGGACTCTGAACAGAAAATGGGGCAAAACTGGTAAAGTCTCAGTCAGTCATTAGCATAAGGGATGTGCTCAAAATGGGTGTGTTGGAGCAATGAAAGGTCGCTGGAAGCACTGCTACCCCCGGGCTGGAGGAGATTAAGACTGGGAAATCAGCAGTGAGTTCACTGCAATAATCCCAGGGATTAATGAGGATCTGAACTAAAATCAATATTAGAGAAAAGAAAGAGCCTAAGTAAGGATTCTCATGAGCCGTGCCCTTCACCCGTTTTCAAAGGATTCCCCTGGATGCTGTCTTCAGAACAGCCTGTGAGAAGGTGAGGCCAGAAGTGGGGAGATGGGTAAGAAATGACTGCAATTATGCAGCAGACCAGGGTGGGCTCACCGCAGGTGGTGAGAAGCAGGGACTCTGGACCTGTTCACCACAGAGCCAGCAGGAGCTCCTGACAGGTCAAAGATCGCAGAGAAAGAAAGGCACGAGGATGCCTCCAAGGATTCTGGCGGAAGCAAGTGAAGGATGGAGTCATTGGTTCCTGAGAAGGGAGTGACTACGGGAAGAGTATGTTTTGAAGGGAAGGTGTAAAAGTTTGGGTTTGGACGTGCTAAATTTGAAATGGTTATTAGACAGTTGAGCGCAATTCACAGTCTGGAGTTTTTGGGTGTGTTGTAGAGACTGCAAATGGGGATAATCATTTTGTTCCATGCAAGTCAGTGAGGCCCTGGGTGGAGGGTGAGAAGAGATGGGGATCAAGCCCCCAACAGTCTCATTGAGGGGCATCAGCAAAAGAGGCTAGGAGCAATCAGGGATGAGGAGGAAAACCAGGAAACCCTTCAAGATCTTTGAAGATCCTTATTTCCAGGAGGATGATCAACTGTATTCACTGATGCCAGTGGATCAAATGAGCTGACTGATGCTTGTTGGTCGGACTTGCTGGAATGGAGATCGATGGTGACTGTGACATCTGCAGCATGCTGCAGTGGCGGGTCAAAACCCTCACTGGACTGAGTTCAAAGAGAATGGGAAGAGTGGAAGTAAAGCAGGGAGTACAGAAAATTCTTCCAAGGAACTCTGCAGTAAAGGGGAAGAAAAACAGTGCAGTGGCTGGAGAAGATATGAGGTCAAGAAAGACCTTTGCAGGATGAGACAGACATTTGCATAGTGAGGGCAAGAATCCAGTGGGGAGGTGGGAACTGATGAGTCCAGCTGAAAGCAGGTAAGTCAAGTGACTAAGAGGAGAGGCTGACCTTTTCTGGGGCACACAGATCACCCGCAGTAAAGGGAAAGAGGGCAGACGACATGGGGTGCGGGGTGCAGATCCAGAGGTGTGGTGGGAGTTGGTGGAACTTCTTTTCTGATTTCTTCCAATTTCACACAGAAAAAAACAAACACAATGTCATCATTCTGCATTTACATTTGGGGAAGATAGGAGAGGAGAAGGTATGAAATGGCATCTAGAAGAGAGGACGGGTAGGCAGCATGCCGCGTAGAAGAAAGAGGGCGGGATGCACTAACAGAGATGCTGGCGGCACTTAGGGCCTCTGCGGGTCAGTGGAGGTGAATGGGCATGGAGAACGGACTGAATGGGGTGGTTTCTGCCAGGTAAGCGCAATGAAGTGGAAGAGGCAAGGGAGCTGAAAGGCTGGCAGGGCTGGGAGGGTAATAATGGACCAGTAGGGGAGATGAAGAATCCTGACAAGGTGGCAGGGTCCTAGGACTGTCGGTCCCAGGAAGGTGGAATATCGGTGTTTTATTTTTAAAAGTCTATTATGAACAAATTTCGTCACCTTTAAATGAAAGCCCTAGTCAAAGCCTAAGTCCTCATAACAAGGAGGACCTGGAAGTGGAGGAAGAGCACTTCACAACTCGGATGATGCAAGAACCATGCAGCCTGAGTTACTACTGCACAGACCATCCATCCAGAAACAGGAAGGCTCCCACCTGGCCCCACCTTCACTCATGCACAAACCCCCCAGCACGCTGTCACTCTTCCGGCACCAGCAGCAAGCCTTTTTCTGTTTCATACAGTTTCCCTAAGGTTTTCCTAAGAACCCCAAACTATCCTCATTTCAACTTCCAGATTTTAGATTTGCCTCTAAAACCAAAGAGAATACAGGGAATTTCTATTATTTTGGTTAAATGTAAGTATTCCCAATATATTCAACTACCAAAACTATTCTATGGTATACTGCTGTGGCTACAGTAGAAAACGAATTCATAGACGTTCATGATTACTCCACTTAAAGAAAAAAACCTTTCTCTCTGCTCAGAAGAATCCAACAACTGAAAATATATCAAAGCAAATTTAAACTTAGCAGTTTAGGTAAACATTAGACGGGACATTCCAAAGTTTAAGATCCCAAAAGCATGTTCCTGTATGTACTGCTTGCATTATTATTGCAGAAAAAAAAATAGTAGGAACCCCAAATATGTGCAATAAATGATCTACCTTATTACATCAGAGGAATCTAATTGTCAGTGTACATTTTTTCCTATTTAGGAAAAAAAAATGTTAAGTTTAAAAATACTGTAAGTCAAATATATCACTAGTTTAAAGTGACATTCTATTTAATAATTAAAGTGTCAAGTATTTTCTGAAATAGAATAGATGCAATAATTACCGGAATATTTTCATTTAAAATATAAATCTGAAGAATGCAAATATGTATTTCTATTTGACATTATCTAGGATTGAGACAACAGAAAGTAACACTAAAATCAGCTAAAGAACTTGGTTTCACATAATGCCTGATAATGCTGATGTTTATCACTTCTGAACGAAAGGTTTAGATCTGGCTAACAGGTTCATATTATATAGACCAGACATTATTACTCAAAAGCCACAATCAGGTCAATTTCAAGTTAAGATCAGATGTGACATTTATTGCCAAAAGTGATCCATCTTTTCCCGTCATTCCGATGGCTTGAAGTAGCCCTATCGCCAGTGGAAAAGGGGCAGCAGAGCCTCATGGTCCCCACCCTCACGTGGGTGCCTGGGCCCTCTTCCCATCATCCCAATGCCTCGAAGTAGCCCCATCGCCAGTGGGAAAGGGGCAACAGAGCCTCATGGTCCCCAACCTCACGTGGGTGCCTGGGCCCCACCCCTTACCCTTTCCTCTTCCCGTTTTCTTTACTTGGCCATGTTACAATTCCACATCTCTTACTCTCTATAATCTCCTTCAATAGCTCTGTTTTGCTTTTTAACTGCTTTTCAACATTTCACTAACCTTTTGCTGAAAATGAAATAAAACTTCACTCAGTGGAATATTATTCAGCCATAAAAAGGAAGGGAAATTGGCAGGGCATGGTGGCACATGCCTGTAATCCCAGCACATTGGGAGGCCAAGGTAGGCAGATTACTTGAGGCAAGGAGTTCAAGACCAGCCTGTCCAAAATGGCAAAACCTCGTCTCTACTAAAAATACAAAAATTAGCCAGGCGTGGTGGTGCATGCCTGTAATCCCAACTATTTGGGAGGCTGAGGCATGAGAATCACTTGAACCTGGGAGGCAGAGGCTGCAGTGAGCCGAGACTGCGCCACTGCACTCCAGCCTGGGCAATGAGAGCCAAACTCTGTCTCAAAGAAAAAAAAATTTAAAAAAAAAGGAAGGAAATTCTGACACATAATACAATATGGGTGAACCTTGAGGATGTTGGGCTGAGTGAAATAAGCCAGTCACGAAAAGACAAAACACTGTAGAATTCCACTTATATGAGGTCTCTAGAGCAGTCAAACTCATAGAGATAGAAAATAGAATGGTAGGTGTCTGGACAACGCTGGGTGGGGAGGGTGAGATAGGGAGTTGGTGTTTAATGGGGATGGAGTTTCGGTTTGGGAAGATGAGGAAGTTCTGGAAATGTGTGGCAGTAATGGTTGCACAACAATGTGAATATACTTAATGCCGTGAACTGGGTGCTTAAAAATGGTTATGATGGTATTTTTATCTTACATGTATTTTACCACCAAAAAAAAAAAAAAAAAAAAAAAAACAGAAAAAAAGAACTTCACAGAAGGCAAAGTCTTGTGTCTTCTCAGTCAAAAAGACGTCTAATAAATGGACACAAGGACATGAGAAACCGGCATGCAGAGCTCACACTGTGATCTTCAGGCAGTAGAAGCTACTCGCCTCAGTCTAGGTTTAAAAGCATGTCAAATTTGAAATAAAGAAAATTAGAAGTTTATATATTAAAATGAATGAGCAAATCATGTTTTGAAACCCTGGTGCCACGATTAAAAGTATGCTAATAAACATCTATATCTATCTGCCCGTCAGTCCATAGATAGATGGCAGGGTGCACCACTCCTAATGATAAAAGGGGGACAGGAGGACACTAGAAAAGAAGACCACAAACTTCACATTTTTATAAATTTTATAAAAATTTGGTCTCATCATCTCACTGAATTCTAAACATGTTCAAAGCCACTGTGACTGAAGTAGCACTGGCTTTTCAATCACTGGACAATATTTGCGTATAACAGATTACATAAACATTTTTAAAGTTCCAATATATCTGATACGGCTGTGAAGCCACCCAAAATCTCGAATTATAATCCCCTAATTCCCATGTGTTGAGGGCAGGACCAGGTGGAGGTAACTGGATCATGAGGGCGGTTACCCCATGCCGTTCTCGTGATAGTGAGTGAGTCTCACGAGATCTGATGATTTTATAAGTGTCTGGCATTTCCCCTGCTTGCATGCACTCCGTCCTGCCGCCCAGTGAAAAAGGTGCCTGCTTCTCCTTTGCCTTCCCCTGTGACTGTAACTTTCCTGAGGCCTCCCCAGCCATGCGGAACTGTGAGTCAATTAAACCTTTCCTTTATGAATTACCCAGTCTTGGTATTTTTTCATAGCGGTGTGAGAACGGACTAATACAATATCTTATTTATTTTCCCTGTCAGTTTCTCTTTAAGAAATACATGCTGAAAAAATGTATGCCCAAACCTAGTATTTAGGGACCACATAAATATTGAGTTAAAAAAACATAGTACAGAACCGCATTTCCATATGATCCTATTTGGTTAAAAGCAAACACACGCTTTTATGTATTTTTCAAGTATATATAAGATAAAATATAGAAAGATACACACCAAGCTGCTGATGCTGGTTACCCACTACAGTTGGGAATGAGAGTTGGAAGTAAGATAATTTTTTTTTGTTTTAATTTTTAAGTCTGTATTGCTTAGTATTAAAAACAAAAAAGATCAGTCCTCCTTTCTGTCTTTCTAAACAATGCTAAACCCAAGGACATGACCAGAATACACGGTGTCCACATGGACACGTAACTTGTTCAGAAACTTTTCCCCAGCCTGGGTTGTCTCGGTCTTCAGTTCTGTTTCCTGGCCCCTTACTCACCACTGCAATTGTCTCCAGCGCCTGCTGCTTTCATGGCACTCACCACCTCTCCTCTGCTAAACCCAAAGGCCAGCTCCAGTCCTCATCTACTGGGTAGCCTCTGACTGTTCACCCCCATCTCTTCACCTCACCCTGTTTCCTGTCTGTCTATTCACAGAATGCTGGTGCTCCTGGGGTTCCACATTTCCGGTCTGCTGCTCACCCTATGCAGTGTGCCTGCCTGATCCGGCCGGTGTCCGTGGCTTCAATCACCTACCCTAGGCAAATGCCCAACCGCACTTTTTAAAATTTCTATTTGAGACACGACCTCAATCTCTCATCCAGGCTGGAGTGCAGTGGGGCAATCACGGCTCACTGAAACCTTGACTTCCTAGGCTCAGGTGATTCTCCTGCCTCAGTCTCCCAAGTATCTGGGACCACAGGCATGCGCCACCATGCCCAGCTAATTTTCTGGAGAGATGGGGGTTTGTCATGTTGTCCAGGCTGGCCTCAAACTCCTGGGCTCAAGTGATCCTCCTGCCTCCACCTCCCAAAGTGCTGGGATTACAGGCAAGATATCTTGGAGGTTCAAAAACCTTTGTCCACACTGAGCTCATCATCATCTTCCTGCCCAAGCTCCCAACTCCTCATAAGCTCTCACGCAGTGGACATCAGCATCCAGTTGTCCAAGTCAGACACTGAGACATCACATCGCCTCCTCCTCCACAGTAACCACTGGCTGAGGACCCCTCATTCGCCCTCACACACATATCTTCTAGAACTGCCCACTCCTCTACCTCCTCGCCCCAGCTTCCTTTATCCAAGCCACTGTGTCTCCTTGGTCTACTAAAAAAGCTGCCTAACTCATCCCTGCCTTCAATCTTTCCCCGCTCGGATCCATTCTCTATGTTTTCCGAAACAAATCAGACTCTGACTTTCCTGCTTAAAATCCTTCAGTAACTTCCCATTGCCCTTAAGGTCAAGCCCAAAGCCCCCCTAATAACTTCTAACCCAAATGAGAAGTCATAACACACACTTCTGTTGCATTATCTGCCAGACATTGTTCTAAGCACTTAACATGGATTGTCTCATCCAGACCTTGATACTCTATCAGGTGACACCATGAGCACACAGAAGAGAGGTCAGAGTGGCCGCTCTAGAAGTCAGCTCCGCCCATTCTGACTCCAGCGTCTCCCTCCTCACCTCATGCCTCACAGCACATCGGTCACAGCAATCTACAGCTCGCTCAACATGCCGTCTGTTCCTCTGCTGGCCCTCCACACCACGGTTGTTCCCTCTGACCTCTGAAGCTGCCACTTTTCCCTGACCAGCTCCCACTTACCTGATGTTCACAGCTTGAGGCCATTTCCTGCAGAGGCCTCCTCTACTTCCCACGTGGGCATGGACAGGTCCCCTTGCTAGGTGGTCACACCCGCCCCCAGCCCCGGCATTCCTCACTTCCCGGCTGCATGTCCAGCTGTCTTCCCCACTCTACTCTGAAAAGCAGAAGCCCAGACCTGTGACAAAGTGCTGGGCACCCAGGGGGAACCCAGTCAATGTCCGCAGCCCAGATGATGGCAATGGAACCAAAGGCACACCCATTCACAAAACCAGAATGCTGCCTATCAGGAAAAATAATGCACTGCACACCTGGGCTCTCGAGTTAGCAAAACACGCAGGCTCCACGATGTTGAGGCGGCACAGGCAAGACGGGAAGTACAGACTGGCTGCACAGTAACCACCTGTGGAGCTGATTCAAATGCAGACTCCTGGGCCTCACCTTGCTGAATCAACACTCCTGTAGGGGGAACCAGGAAGTATATATTTTTTAAATGCTAATTCGCTAGCTAGGCATAGCGGCTCCTGCCTGTAATCCCAGCACTTTGGGGGGCTCGG
This sequence comes from Homo sapiens, assembly GCF_000001405.40. NCBI lineage: Eukaryota > Metazoa > Chordata > Mammalia > Primates > Hominidae > Homo > Homo sapiens. The sequence continues at coordinate 68,260 of NW_021160005.1, read as the reverse complement.
GTGGGAGGATCATTTGAGGCCAGGAGTTTGAGACCAACCCAAGCAACATGGTGAAACCTGGTCCCTCCCAAAAATACAAAAATGATCCAGGTGTGGTGGTGCGCACCTGTATTCCCAGCTACTTTGCGGGCTGACGTGGGAGCCTCACTTGAGCCCAGGAAGTCAAGGCTGCAGTGAGCTATGATCACACTACTGCACTCCAGCCTGGGCAACAGTGCCCAGGGCAACAGTGCTCAAGGCTGTTTTGAGACCCTGTCTCAAAACAAATAAAAAAAGACAACAAAATGCTAATTCACGGCCAGGAGTGGTGGCTCACGCTTGTAATCCCTGCACTTTGAGAAGCTGAGGCAGGCAGGATCACTTGAGCCCAGGAGTTCGAGCAGCCTGGGCAACATGGTGAAACCCCATCTCTAAAATAGAAATATAGAAAATAGCCAGGCGTGGTGGTGCATGCCTGTAGTCCCTGCTGCTCGGGAGGTTAGGTGTGAGGACTGCTTGAGTCCAGGAGGTTGAAGCTGCAGTGAGCTGTGTCTACACCACTCTATTCCAGCCTGGGTGACAAGGTGAACCCTGCCTCAAAAAAAAAAAAAAAAAAAAAAAAAAGCTGACTCACTGTCCTTCCATGTTTGAAACAAACTGACCCTTCCAACCTCAAACATGTCACTTAAGTTATTATTCCTCTTGGTTTATGTATCCACAAAATGTGTGCAAAGACAGCTACACTCTACCCATGGTCCACAACCGTAACAATCAAATGGGAAAACCATCAAAAGTGCCATTCAACTGAAAGGCAGTATCGCCACCAGCCCTCTAACCCAGGAGAGCAGCTCGACAGGTGTCCCGCAGCCCCTTCCACATTAACACCTCCTCTCTGTCTGCTCCTCAAATGCAAATCCTTGGCCTGTGATGGACTGGTTGATTTTTGCCACATGGCTAAAATAAAGTTACTTAATATCTCAACTGTTAATTCAGTTCTTAGCAGTACTGTTAACAGTTTGAAGAAAGCAGTTGTGTGCATTCCGACGCATGAAGTGGAAAATGATCACACACGCCCTCATCACTGTCAGTCTATGGACAACTTTCTGGATTTCTAGCCTACCCTGCACCTGCCTTTATCTTTTTTTTTTTTTTGAGATGGAGTTTCACTCTTGCTGTCCAGGCTGGGGTGCAATGGCCCAATCTCGGCTCACCACAACCTCCACCTTCCAGGTTCAGCGATTCTCCTGCCTCAGCCTCCGGAGTACCTGGGATTACAGGCATGCACCACCACGCCTGGCTAATTTTGTATTTTTAGTAGAGACGGGGTTTTTCCATGTTGGTCAGGCTGGTCTCGAACTCCCGACCTCAGGTGATCCGCCCACCTCGGCCTCCCGAAGCCTTTATCTTTGCTAACAAAAATCCTCCAAGAATGTCTGCATTCTCTGCCTTTGCTTCCTGGGTGCTCACGGCCTGCCTTCCTGCCTTCACTGCTCACAAACTGCTCCCAAGGGTGAACAACCTTGAGCGCTCCTAAGAACCAGTGTGTCCTCGGCCTCTCTGCTCTCCCGATACTGGGTCCTTGGCCTGTGGATGGACGGCAAACAGCACTTAGCCCTCAAACCTGGTCCTGTCTTCCAGAACTCGTTCAGTCTCCGTTAAATGACAAGGAGCTCACCACTACCAACCGCAGCTTGAACTTAACAAAAACAGAGTGGGGTTTTCATTTGGAAGAGAAAAAGAGGAAAAAAGCCCTTAGTGCTTTTAGAAAAGTACATGGGGCCGGGTGTGGTGGCTCACGCCTGTAATCCCAGAACCTTGGGAAGCTGAGGCAGGCGGATCACGGGGTCAAGAGATGGACATCATTCTGGCCAACATGGTGAAACCCCATCTCTACTAAAAATACCAAAATTAACTGGGCGTGGTGGCGCGCACCTGTAGTCCCAGCTACTCGGGAGGCTGAGGCAAGAGAATCGCTTGAACCCAGGAGGCAGAGGTTGCAGTGAGCCAAGATTGCCCCACTGCCCTCCAGCCTGTCGACAGAGCAAGACTCCGTCTCAAAAAAAAAAAAAAAAAAAGTACATGGATGAAATAAAAATGCACTGTGCCTCTCTCTTAACTTCTGGCTTAGCAACTAAGGAGGGTGCATTTGTGTGTTTCTAAATGTCAAATCAGTATCACTGAAGGTCAAACCTGAGAAACCTTAATTCAAGACGTGGTCTCTTCACCAGCTACAGTGGCATTGCCAGCCACTTTATAATAAACACAATTTATAATCCATCTGGTCCGTCAGCTCTGAAACTATATTATCCTTAATGATTTAACTTGTTTTTTGTTTTGACTCTGAAGGGAGTTGCATTACTTCATAGTAACTGAAATACTGATGTGAATATACATTCAAAAAATTTATGACCATACTGCTTTTATGTTTTAAAATTTTTGTCAAGATAAAGGTCACATAAAATTCTCCATCCTAACCATTTTAAGTGTACAATTCAGTGGTTTTTAGTATATTCACAATGCTGTGTTACCATTACCACTATCTAATTCAAAACATTTTCGTCACCCCCCAAAAAAACCCCATACCTATCAGCAATCACCACCGACCCTCCCTCCCCTCTCCGCCCTAGGCACCCACCAATCTGCTTTCTGTCTCTGTGTATCTGCCTGTTTCGGACATTTCACAGGAATGGAATCATACACTATGTGGCTTTTTGTGCCTGGCTTCTTTCACTTGGCATAGTATTTTCAAGGGTCGGACATGTTGTAGCATATGGTAGCTCCACTCCTTTTTATTCCTTTTTATTTTTTGGAAAACTTTTTTTTTTTTAGGCAAAACTGGGATTTTTTCATGGGAGTTTCTAAGTTTTGCTTCCTGTACTTTTATCATTCTGCTAAGAGCAAACCAAACTATCTTTGGTTGTTGTTAGCATTTCAATACTTAAACACATATAATTGCATAGAATAAGCAAGCAAGACAATTAAAAATATTAGCAGCCAGGCATGGTGGCTCATGCCTGTAAACCCAGCACTTTGGGAGGCCAAGGCGGGCAGATCACCTGAGGTCGCAAGTTCGAGACCAGCTTGACTGACATGGAGAAACCCCCGTCTCTACTAAAAATACAAATTAGCCAGGTGTGGTGGCACATGCCTGTAATCCCAGCTACTCGGGAGGCTGAGGCAGGAGAATCGCTTGAACCCGAGAGGCGGAGGTTGCGGTCGGCAGAGATCGCGCCACTGCACTCCAGCCTGGGTGACAGAGCAAGACTCCATTTCAAAAAAAAAAAAGTTAGCATGTATGTTTCAAAACAACCTGAAATATTACTGAGAATGTATATTTCATATACTTCAGAATTCAAGTATATATTAGTAAAAAAAAACCCAAAGAAAATACATTCTAATTAACATGTTTAAACAGCCTGAGGGGAGGGGCAGAATCAAACCAACAAAATAAAAATAAATAAAGGGCAGAAACCCTTGATTCCAACAGAAATGAAAGCCTTCTACAATCACCTTTTTATTCTTACATTTGTTTATCTCTTCGAGAGAGTCTCGCCCTGTCACCCAGACTGAAGTGAAGTGGCACAATCATAGCTCACTGCAGCCTCCAACTCCTAGGTTCAGCCTCCCAAGTAGCTAGGACTACAGACGTGCACCACAATGTTCAAGTTGGGTTTTTTTGTTTTGTTTTGTTTTGTTTTTTTAAGAGATGTTATGTTGCCCAGACTGGTCTTGAACTCCTGGCCTCAAGCAAACCTCCCACCTTGACCTCCCAAAATGCTGGGATTACAGGCATGAGCCACTGCGCCCAGCCTCTGCGATCAATTTTTTAAAAGAATATTCACTTAAGAGTTTCGGATACATTTAAAACACTAGAAAATAACAAAATACAAACATATGACATCCAGTTTATATTTATAGTATTTTTCAAAGTTCCCAATAGAGCAAGTATGTGACTTTTGGCATTGATCATGCTTACAGGAATATAAAATATTTTTCAATTTCAAATATTTAATAGACCTATGCATGTGCCAAAAAATCAATGAATCATAAACTGTCTTCAAAGCATGAAATCAGAAAATGCCTGTTTGAACTTGACAGTCTAAAGCCATCACTGGCCAGGCGTGGTGGCTCACACCTGTAATCCCAGCACTTTGGGAGGCTAAGGTAGGCAGATCACTTGAGGTCGGGAGTTTGAGACCAGCCTGACCAACATGGAGAAACCCCGTCTCTGCTAAAAATACAAAATTAGCTGGCCGTGGCGGCACATGCCTGTAATCCCAGCTACTCAGGAGGCTGACAGAGGAGAATCGCTTGATCCCAGGAGGCGAAGGTTGCGGTGAGCCGAGATCGCACCATTGCACTCCAGCCTAGGCAACAAGAGCAAAACTCCATCTCAAAATAAATAAATAAGCCATCACTAAGGTCAGTGTATAACCCATATTTCTAAATACATTTTGGCCCTAACAAGGTTTAAAAACAGTGGTAGCAGCAGCAAAGGAAAGGGGATTAGGACAGAGCTTTTTTCTTTGCTTTTGGAGACAAAGTCTTGTTCTGTTTCCCAGGCTGGAGTGCCGTGCTGTAACCATGGCTCACTGGAGCCCTGAACACCCATACTCAACCAATCCTCCCACTTCAGCCTCCTAAGTAGCTGGGACCACAGGTGCACACCATCATGCCCAGCTAATTTAAAAAAAAATTTTTTTTGTAGAGGTAAGGTCTGTCTATGTTGCCCAGGTTGGTCTTGAACTCCTGGCTCAAGGGATCCTCCTGCCATGGCTTCCCAAAGTGCTAGGACTACAGGGGCGATCACACCCAGCCTAACAGACCTTTTTCTTTCTTTTTTTTTACACACACCTTTAGAAAAAGTACTTAATTTTTTTGGATCAGTAATAAAGGTGTATATAGAGAAATCTCCCTTTCAGCCCTGTTCACTCTTCCACACAGTAGGTAACTAAAGTTGTGCCTTTCCTGTTTATCTAGAGATTTTTTAATGCATATATGAGCAAATCTATTCTTTCGCCCTTGCTTTTCTTCAGTTAAGGATATTTCCATATCGGTGCATAACATCCTCCTCCCTTTTTACAGCTTCCTGGCATACAAAGAATATGAATCATAATTTAACTGTTCAACTACTGATGAGGTTTATGTTCCTGCTTCCAATCTTTTGCGATTACAAATAATATGGCAATGAATAACCTTGTAAATACATCATTCTATACCTGTGCATCTATACCAGTAAGATAAAACCTTAGAATTTCTGGGTCAAAGGGAATTTGTAATTTAAAAGATACTGCGAAATTATCCCCAGTAGGCCAGCAACATAATAAAATGCTTGTTTCCTTGTGGCTTACCACCCTGGTGTGTTATTAAACCTTGAGGTTAATTTTCCCTTTTTTCAGATCCATTCTCCATTCGCCATTGCCTATCATACAGGAATCTCCAAAATCTCTTCATGTACTCAACTGGGTGCATGTCTGGCCATCTGCTGGGAGAGGTGGGAAGCAATATGTTTTCTGTGATACCCTGTTGCTCCTCTGAGTCTGTCATGACCCAGGGAAGGATTCTGACGTTTCACTGGAAACAAAGAAGGCTCAGGGGTTTTTTTGTGAGATTATAATACTTCCTCATTTTCTCCAGGTGACAATCTATAATATGAATGGCATGTTATCTCTAACTTCATTATTTACCTTTTCTCTTATTACGTATAAATGACTGGTCTGCTTTTACCTATCCTAACACATTTTTATCCAGCAGAGTCACCTCTTCTTTTGTGTTGCTATATTCTTCTTTGTAATAGCTTCTGACAATCTTCTCTTAAAGCCAAACATTCGTTATCAGAAAGTACACACATCGGGCCTTATGCCTTCTAGGGTTGTCATGCCCAAGCATTTATACAACAAAACATTTTACTGTAAACTAATTTCCCCTTATTTATTTTACATCACAATTGAGGCATTGTATTGATTTTTCTAAAATTATGTGTTTAGGTAGGGTTTTTTTATGAATGTCATTTTATGATAAAAATTATAATTTAAAATACTATTAAAAGGAGACACCAGATTGCTCTAAGCTATCCACTTAGAAATGAACCTGCTGCGTCAAAGGGTTACGTACTTTAACTATCAATGTTTTTAATGTTATAAATTACAGTGTATTTAATCAATGTTTTACTGCTTGTCACTCCCCTATACGTTTACAATTTACAGTAAGAGATTTTTGTGCCTTAACAAAAAAAAAAATTAAAGATCACAAGCAATCCATTTCTCCATTGACGATTAAGATTGCTTCGCAAGTAAGCGTGCATGTGTGCGTGCATGTTTTACTCCAAAAGAAAAAGGTCACTTTGCACCAGTTTGCCCCAAAAGGCCATTTTTCTAGTCCCACAGTACCACCATGCAAAATGAGGGCTGCCTTACTATTTCTAAAAACAAAACATTACTTGAAAAATAATCCATTTATTTTGTTCAAATGTCAGCACAATTTCTCCGTTTTGAATTTTGCTTTTTTAAACCTCCCCATGGCAATAAGGGGTAGATTAAAATACCCTATTACCTAACAGTATAAATAACCATAAACTTATCACTAGTTAGCTTGATATTCAAAGTATTACTTTTACTTAAACATTACATGTATCCTAACATATGCCCAAATATAAGCCAATTTTGAGTGAGAACCTCCCAATTTTCCTATGAAGGAAACTACCAATAGAAGTTTTCTGGCCACTTTAGAATGTAAATTAGTCAACTGTGAGTCAAATTCAGTCCTACATTTTTATTAGAACAAACAAATGGGGCCAGCCTCAGGGGCTCACGTCTGCAATCCCAACACTTTGGGAGCTGAGGCAGGCAGACTGCTTGACCTCAGGAGTTCGAGACCAGCCCAGGCAGCAGGGTGAAAACCCATCTCTACAAAAATTAAAAAAATAGCCAGGCGTGGTGGTGTGCCTCTGCAGTCCCAGTTACTTAGGAGGCTGTGGTGAGAGGATCGCTTAAGCCCAGGAGGTCGAGGCTGCAGGAGCCGTGATCATGCCATTGCACTCCAGCTTGGCCAGAGTGAGACCTTGTCTCAAAAAAAAAGAAGTAAAATAAACAGATGAGTCGGTGGGTTGGTAGGTCAAACTGTTTACTCTAGTTGCATGCTAAGTTACTGTATCTAACAAGCCAATTTCCCACCTAGAGTTCTATCACATGCATTTCAAACATTTCCAAGAAATTCTGAACCTATGTTTTCTCCCCTTTTTTTGCTGTGGCAACTGTCACTCAGCTTTTGGTGAGCCATTTGGGCATCAATTGACACGACCATTTGGTGGCACTGCCACATCCTTGCCTTGGAGAAACAAAGAGTCTGCTCTGCCTGCGGGACACTAGGCCACTGGCTGCCACTCTGTCACTCACAAACTGCCACCATGCTCTGGAACACGGTGGTCATGCCTGGTGATGCTGGCAGTGATGGGACAATCAAAACATGAAGTAAATATATGCAGGTGACAGGAGGGGTGCCAGTGTCTCAGGCACCTTGAACTTGAGAAGGGCAGGGCACTTGATTAACATCCCCACTTCTCTAGTAAAATGAGGGGGTGCTGACCTCCCTGGCTAATGAGGATAGGAAAAATCAAAGTGTTTTCCCTACTTCCACACACACCACCACTGCTGACACCAGATGTCGGGGGTGTAAAGCAATTCTGCCGCTGTGTGCCTCTAATTCCATGCAGTTCTGCAGCTGTGTGCCTCTAATTCCATGCAATTCTGCACTGTCCAGCTGGAGAGTGTATCAATCCCACAGGGTAAGGCTCAGTCCCACAAGACCACTCCCCCAGTCCTTTGCAGGTGCCAAGTACAAGTCCCAGGTTGTGACCTGTGCTTCTGACCAACCAGCTATGAATCAGGGTTCCCATGATACCCTTCTCGGGTTCAATTAAATTTGCTGCAGCAGCTCACAGAACTCAGAGGAGCACTTTACTTACATTTACCCATGTATTATAAAGGATATCACAGGCTGAGCATGTTGGCTCACATCTGTAATCCCAGCACTTTGGGAGGCTAAGACGGGAGGGCTGCTTAAGGCCAGGAATTTGAGACCAGCCTGGGCAACATAGTGAGATCCCATCTCTAATTTTTTTTTTTTTAAAGGCTATCACAAAGGACCCAGGTGAACAGCAGAAGGAGAGATGCACAGGGCAAAGTATGTGGGAAGGGGTGCAGAGCTTCCATGCCCTCTGAGGGCACTACCCTCCAGAAACTGCTACATGTTCAGGAACCCAGAGCCCCCAGAATCCTATCCTTTTAGGGTTTTAGGCTTTGTTACATAGGCATGACTGATTAACATCATTGGCCACTGGATAACCCAACCTTCAAACAGAAGCTAGGGCATGGAGCTCAAAGTCCTAACCCTCTAATCCTGCCTAGGTCTTTCCAGTGACCACTCCTTTTTTCTTTTTTTTTTGTCTTTTCTTTTTTTGAGACGAAGTCTCGCTATCTCCCAGGCTGGAGTGCAGTGGCGCGATCTCAGCTCACCGCAACCTCCGCCTCCTGGGTTCAAGTGATTCTCCTGCCTCAGCCTCCGGAGTAGCTGGGATTACAGGCACACACCACCACGCCTGGCTAATTTTTGTATTTTTAGTAGAGACGGGGTTTCACCATGTTGGCCAGGCTGCTCCTGAACTCCTGACCTCAAGTGATCCGCCTGCCTCAGCCTCCCAGAGTGCTGGGATTATAGGCATGAGCCACCGTGCCAGGCCTCCAGTTACCAGTCCTTACCTTGAGGCTACCTAGGGGGTAGCCAGTCACCAGTCACCTGATCAGCACATAAGGACACTCTCAGTACTCCAGAGAGTCCAGGAGCTTGAGAAGCTCTGTGCCAGGGGCCAGGGCACAGACCAAATGTACATCTCTTCTTATGCTACAATATCACACTTGGCACCGCTCAGGAATGGCTTTAGAGTTCACAGGTAAGCAATTCTCCAGAAAAACCTTAGGGTATGCACAAGCTTTCCCTGATTTCATAACAATTGTAGTTAGCATTTTTCAGGCTCATATTAGCAAGGAAAGCCACAAGCAGCTTTTACATGTAATTAAACAATCTGCCAAACTTTTTCCGTGACATTTATTAAATTGGAAATGTCCCAGATGTGTGTGAGTAAGCATTCTGAGACCGCTTTCCAAGACTTGTCAAGGTTCTGCAGACAGGACTCGGTATATTCTGCTAGACCAAGTGCTACCGAAGAGCAGCACTCGAACACGCGGTAGGGCTGCCCGACACTGCGTCAGACCGGGGTCTAGAACCACAGTGCAATGCTGAAAGAATGCAAGGTACGCCAACTGAGAACGCTGGCCAGTGTTTTAACAGACATGGGAGACCACAACTGAAAACTCAAGCCTCAGCATACGCAAGACCAAGGAAAACTGGGCTGCCACTTTCCTTTCAGCCTGTGACATGGTCTTAGAGATGTCAGGTCAAAATTGGGAAGTTTGCTAATTTAATAAACAGGTATCTCAGAGGAATCAAAGGTCTACGTATAAAGCTGTAACTGAAAGACGCCTTATTAGGGATTTCTTCCTGTGGTGTGGTGGCACAAATGTAGTCCCAGCTACTTGGGACACCGAGGCAGGAGGATTGCTTGAGCCCAGGAGTTCAAGATCAGCCTGGGCAACATACTGGGATCACATGTCTTTAAAAAAAAAAAAAAAAAAAATGGTGTTGAGAGTATCTACGGCTACATTTACATTTACATTCCTGATATTCTGCTGATGAGTCAAGAAAACACAACACTCTAGTGTTCGAGACCATACAGCTAAGGCTGAATGTATAAATATAAATGGACTTGTTAAAGCTTTTGATTCTGTCTCATGCAGTTTTCTTAACAAGCATGACATTGCCTACCAGAAAACGACATAACTGACTGGCAGAAATGATAAAAAGAAAGGGTTTATTGTCAACCAAGGAAGCGTCTCAAGTGCCCTGTCTCCAGCTCACAGCTCTGTTGCCGCAGTGTGCTCCCTCTGCCCGCCCAGACTCCACTGCCCATCTCCATCCTCCCACGAGGCTCTCAGAGAATGCACTCCAGCCCTGGATAGCCACCTTCCTGTGAGCTCACAGCCCTCCATGCCTTTCCTGTTTCCTGGTCAGCCACCCTTCTCCCACTGCTCCCTGGGGAAGCATCCCCTCTAAGGACCAGTGTGGCTGCCCCACCCTACGAAGCTGCTGGCTGCTCCCTCCTCCAATCGAGCCTCTCTTCCCACTGCTGCCATCCCCACGATCCCCTTGATGCTGAATGGGACCTCACAACCCTCAGTTCAACCATTCCCCCTCCTCTGGGAAGGCTCTTCTGGCCCCTGAGGGCAACCTGGCCAGCTCCTTTCCTGTGCTATGCTGGATTCTGTCTACTGTGCCACTGCACAGCCACCGCTTCACTGCACTTTCGTGAGTCCACTTAGACTCCATGCTTCCCAGCTGAAAGGCTGTGCCCATCACTGTTAAAACCCCAAGCCACAACAAGGAACCGAGCAAAGCAGCCATGTTCACACGGTCACTGCATATGGAATTAACTGAGTAATACTGACAGCTCACATTACTGCACGGTGGTCCCGTGAAACATTCATGTGCTGCGTACTGCGTCTGGCAAAGCAGTCTGACGAGAGCTCTATGAATGGTTTCACCCTCTACTTTAACAAGAAGGCATCTCAAAATGAGCCAAAGATTCAGATACACAACTGTAAACGAAGGTCCTTTATTAAGAATTTCCTCTCTGTGGTTCTATTAAGCTTACTAAATAGACATATAAGCTTAAGAACAAGTACCCCTATTAATTCAAGCACTTTCCTGAACAAAAAAATATTTCTAAGGTGCTATATGCTAGGTACTCAAAAGATGTAAACTGCAATAACTATATTTGTCTAATGCCTTATGATTTTCAAAATACTTTCATATATTTTATCACATTTTACTCTCAGCAACCCAGTAAGGCACTCATAATTACCTTATTTTACAAATTAGAATACAGACCCAGGCAGATTAGAGAGGTACAAAGGTCACTCAGCTAGTAAGTGGCTTGGGACTCGCAGCCCAATGCAGATGTTATCTTCAGGGGAAGATACCATGGTGAGGACCAAAACCAAGTGCGCAGGGAAGCTGAGTTCTCTCCATCTTCCCTGTGTTGGGGGCTGTGTTGAGTGGTTTGCAGAGACATGCCTCACATCAAATGAATGTCTACTTTGTGCAGGCTAGCATGGTAGATACTTTATGTTAGTTCTCATCAAGTCTACTTATTGGGTAATAAGTAGTATCTCTATTTTACAGATTTTATAGATGGCAAAACAGTCTTAGAGGTGAACTATCTTGGCCAAGATCAGAAAATTGGTACGCAGAGGACCCAAAACTTCTAACAGGTATGTAGGCGAGAGGGAACAAGGAGTGACTGGGCAGAAAACAACAGACTGCCATTGCAGCAGTTAGTAAAAATGAAGGGCCTGTTTACACAGTAAACCCATGACCTTAAATGGAGAGAATCATGCTGGCCTCACCTCCCAGGGTATCTTTTGGTGGTTTCTTTTGCCCCCTCATGGCTTATCTTGATCCTAATATTTCATCTGTGTTTTTCTTAAAGCCGGTAGCATTTTAAAAGTTGGAGTAGGCCGGGCGCGGTGGCTCATGCCTGTAATCCCAGCACTTTGGGAGGCCAAGGCGGGCGGATCACAAGATCAGGAGATCGAGACCATCCTGGCCAACATGGTGAAACCCTGTCTCTACTAAAAATACATAAAATTAGCTGGGCGTGGTGGCGGGCGCCTGTAGTCCCAGCTACTTGGGAGGCTGAGGCAGGAGAATGGCATGAAACCAGGAGGGGAGCTGGCAGAGGGCCGAGATCACGCCACTGCACTCCAGCCTGGGCGACAGAGCGAGACTCCATCTCAAAAAAAAAAAAAAAAATTAGGTGGGCATGGTGGCACATGCTTATAGTCCCAGATACTGAGAGGCTGAGGCAGGAGAAGTGCTTGAACCCAGGAGACGGAGGCTGCAGTGAGCCCAGATCGGGCCACTGTACTCCAGCCTGCATGATGGAGAAAGACTCCGTCTCAAAATAAATAAATAAAAATTAAAAAAATAAAAGCTTGAGTAAACATAAAAGGAATAAATAGTAAAATCAGCCCCAAGCCCCTGAATCCCAGTAGGAACTGGCGGAGAAAAAGCACCTATGAGGAGTGAGAAGAAACCATGCAGGCTTGACTTTGGCTTTGAGGGGCGCATGGTAATGAAGAGGAGTCTGCGGGACATCTCAGGAGAAGGGAGTCCAGGCCTATGGGAAGGGGCAGAGGGCATGGCTGGCAGTGATGGAGGGAGATCTGTGGGGCGGGTGGAAGGGGCAGAGGGCATGGCTGGCACTGATGGAGGGAGATCTGTGGGGCGGGTGGAAGGGGCAGAGGGCATGGCTGGCACTGATGGAGGGAGATCTGTGGGGTAGGTGGAGGGAGCCAAAACACGGAGTCGGTAGCCGGGCTAAGCAAGTCGAGATTCTGTTCCTGCGCCTAGACAGACACTGAACAAACCCTCCCAAAGCGATGGCTGAGGTTAGGCTGGTGGCTGTGGCAAGTGTGCTGGGTGGACTCCAAAGGGAGAGTGCAGAAGCACAGCCTGGACCACAGGCACCGAGGTCCCGGCTCTGAGACGAGAACATCAAAGGCGAGTGTGTATCAGGGGGATCAGGAAAGAAACCCCTGACAGAGCCTCTGAGTGGCAGCAGGGGAGCAGAGGGGCCAAGAGCGAAGCTTGGATGAGAGGCAGAGGGCAATGCTGACTTGGAAGGGAAGGAGAGCACAGTTCTGGCAGGAGAGACAGCAGGACACCCAATGGACACGTCTGAAACAATCACAAAACACAGGGCTGAGGTCCCCGGAGCATCCAGAAGGGAAGAAGACCCCACGATAAAGGCTGCTGGAGGGGCCGAGGAGAGGGTTTGTTCAGATGAAAGTAACTGTCCGAGAACAGTATCTTTGTGGATAGCAAGTGCTACCTTTCCCTTGATTCTTTTCACAGGGGTTTACCTAACATGAAAAGAAATCCCTAATGCCTGCCAGTGTTGAGTAGTAAACAGAGAGATGTCAGCAGAAGCACGGTATTAACATTTTATCCTATGGTGTCTGACCCCTGTAAGAAAAAGAAAACCATTTTATTCTAAAGCTGCAGCTAACAAAAGGCCTACCCAGAACCTGTTTCTTTCTTTTCTTTTGAGACGGAGACTCACTCTGTTGCCCAGGCTGGAGTGCAGTGGTGCAATCTTGGCTCACTGCAGCCTCAACCTACCAGGCTCAAGTGATCCTCTTGTCTCAGCCTCCCAAATAGCTGGAACTACAGGTGTGCACCACCACGCTTGGCTAATTTTTGTGTTTTTAGTAGAGACGGGGTTTTGCCATGTTGCCCAGGCTGGTCTCAAACTCCTGAGCTCAAGTGATCCGCCTGCCTCAGCCTCCCAAAGTGCTGGGATTACAGGTGTGAGCCACTGTGCCCGGCCCAGAACATGTTCCTTTAAATAAAAAGGCATGGTAAAATTGTTCAATGATGACAGAATAACTGTATCTAGACACTTACCCTCTAAATTACTGACAGTTTAAAAAGTGACTGTAACTTACTATGGTAAGTGTCCGTATCTCTTTATGCAGTATCACTGTAAACTTCTAAGAGAATCGTAAAGATGAATGTAACAGCAATCCCCATAGTGAGTCACAGCACAGGAGAACCAGCACTCTAAGGTGGGGAGGCAGGGAAGCTCTTCCCCGAGCCCAGGGAAGCCCTCTGAGCAGCAGCTGATGTTTTCAGGCCAGCACCGTGGGACAGATCAGCCTGGAAGTCTTTTAATGAACAGGTTCTGGGATGAACACTTCTAGGTACACTCTAGAAAATGTCACTTCCTGGCAGCACCTGGGCCTTTTAATAACAACCATTTATAGTAAAAATAGTTTGGGGAACACAAAAAAGAAAGTGCCAGGCATTCATGGGTTTGTGAAAAGCACCCAGACCCTATCTACAGGAATGTGCTTTTAAGCAGTCTCCTAATTCATCATCAAACTGTTTCAGGAACAAGTATTTCTATGGTTTGCACAAGAAAACAACCTTGGAATGTAGATTCTTTCCGATGTAAAACCTTTATTCTACCCACCCACTACTGCCTCCTGCATAGGCCTTCTACCACTCAGCTCAGCACCCCACTACACACAACCAAAAAGGCAATATTTCTTGTTTATGAACCTTTCTCCTTGAAATGGAATAATCAGGAACAGGAATAAAAGTAACATGGGCAGTGATATAACAGAAAAGTTGACGGAAGGAAGGAAACCCAAACATCTGATTTGGATTTTCATTCAATATGTGTTCTTTTTTCTTTCTAGAGGAAAGTCAGAGCAGAGAGGAGAGAATCACATGGCATTTTTTCCTGATAATTCTAGAGGGAAGGAGCATTACCACCACCATGTAAGCGAATGCGAAACTGCTCTCTTCAGATCTCGAGGCACAGCTGTCAAGGGTTTTATCATGCTGTTGCCATTTGTCAGGCATGCTGGCCACCCAGCATCTGAGCCTCTTCCTATGGATGGGAAATGGTCCACTCTTGAGGAAAAGCAAGTGGCCCAGACGAGGGGCTGAAAGCACCAGAAACTTGCTCTCCCAGCCTCTCCTGCATCTGCTGGTGACAACCTCGGAGCACAGACATTACGGGGAAATGGGGCCCGGCTAGCAGGGCCTGGCTAACCAGTGTCCTCCAAACCTGGTTCTCCACCTTCCCAGAGACACTGTGACCCAGTCAGAATCCTTACAATAATTTTTCTGTGCAGATCACACAGGTAGTGTGTAACAAGCCCTTTGACTTAGCAGGCTTATTTTACCCATTACTCATATTTTGAATATGAGTAATTTTGAATTTCATCCATTCTTCTCACACATGAATGCACCCTTCAGACAATACACCCACTGTGGACACACTGAGTACAAGGAGAGACTGTTACTGTGGACACCATATGTTTCCATATTGTTTACATCTTTTTTCATTTTTTCTTTTTTTTTCATTTTAGAGACAAGTCTTGCTGTCACCCAGGCTGGAGTACAGTGGTATGATCATAGCTCACTGCAGTCTTAACCTGCTAGGTTCAGGCGATCCGCTCGCCTCAGCCTCCTGAGTAGCTGGGACTACAAGCACGCACCACCACGCCCAAATAACTTTTTGATTTTTTGTAAAAGTAGGGTCCTGCTATGTTGCTCAGGCTGGTCTCGAACTCCTGGCCTCAAGTGATCCTTCCACCTCAGCCTCCCAAAGTGCTGGGAGCCTGAAGCGTGAGCCACCGTGCCCGGCCTCTCTGGTTTTGTTTTCTATTGATCACAATTAACTTTGGGAATTACAGGGAAAAGCATTCTTTGCCAAAACCAAACTTCTTTAGCCCATTCAATAATGACTATCAGAAGAATGACTAACATTTATTGAATGCTTATTAAATACCAGGCTCTCTTCTGAGAGCGTCATGAATTAACTATCTTCACCACGAGTCTGTGAGGCACGTCTCACAGTGAGCAGCGGAGAGCTAAGGGGACAGCGCAGACCCAGAGGCCATGCTCTTACACACAACCTCAATATCACACCACATTAACAAGCAATCCTCTCCATAAGCAAAGAAACAAATGTGATAAAGAAAATTCTCCTCTCCCTCTCCCTCCCTCCCCCTCCCTCCCTCCCTCTCTCCCTCTCCCTCTCCCTCCTCTCCCTCTCCCCATGGTCTCCCGCTCCCCACGGTCTCCCTCTCCCTCTCTTTCCACGGTCTCCCTCTGATGCTGAGCCGAAGCTGGACTGTACTGCTGCCATCTCGGCTCACTGCAACCTCCCTGCCTGATTCTCCTGCCTCAGCCTGCCGAGTGCCTGCGATTGCAGGCGCGCACCGCCACGCCTGACTGGTTTTCGTATTTTTTTGGTGGAGACGGGGTTTCGCTGTGTTGGCCGGGCTGGCCTCCAGCTCCTAACCGCGAGTGGTCCGCCAGCCTCGGCCTCCAGAGGTGCTGGGATTGCAGACAGTGTCTGGTTCACTCAGTGCTCAATGGTGCCCAGGCTGGAGTGCAGTGGCGTGATCTCGGCTCGCTACAACCTCCACCTCCCAGCTGCCTGCCTTGGCCTCCCAAAGTGCCCAGAGTGCAGCCTCTGCCCGGCCGCCACCCCGTCTAGGAAGTGAGGAGCGTCTCTGCCTGGCCGCCCATCGTCTGGGATGTTAGGAGCCCCTCTGCCTGGCTGCCGAGTCTGGAAAGTGAGGAGCGTCTCTGCCTGGCCGCCATCCCATCTAGGAAGTGAGGAGCACCTCTTCCCGGCTGCCATCCCATCTAGGAAGTGAGGAGCGTCTCTGCCCAGCCGCCCATCGTCTGAGATGTGGGGAGTGCCTTTGCCCCGACGCCCCGTCTGGGATGTGAGGAGCGCCTCTGCCCGGTCGCGACCCCGTCTGGGAGGTGAGGAGCGTCTCTGCCCAGCCGCCCCATCTGAGAAGGGAGGAGACCCTCCGCCTGGCAACCGCCCCGTCTGAGAAGTGAGGAGACCCTCCGCCCGGCAGCCGCCCCGTCTGAGAAGTGAGGAGCCCCTCCGCCCAGCAGCCACCCCGTCTGGGAAGTGAGGAGCGTCTCCGCCCAGCAGCCGCCCCGTCCAGGAGGGAGGTGGGGGTCAGCCCGCCAGGCCAGCCGTCCCGTCTGGGAGGGAGGTGGGGGGGTCAGCCCCCTGCCCGGCCAGCCGCCCCGTCCGGGAGGGAGGTGGGGGGGGTCAGCCCCCGGCCCGGCCAGCCGCCCCGTCCGGGAGGTGAGGGGCACCTCTGCCCGGCCGCCCCTACTGGGAAGTGAGGAGCCCCTCTGCCCAGCCAGCCGCTCCATCCGGGAGGGAGGTGGGGGGGTCAGCCCCCCGCCCGGCCAGCCGCCCCGTCCGGGAGGGAGGTGGGGGGGGTCAGCCCCCCCACCCGGCCAGCCGCCCCGTCCAGGAGGTGAGGGGCGCCTCTGCCCGGCTGCCCCTACTGGGAAGTGAGGAGCCCCTGTGCCCGGCCAGCCACCTCATCCGGGAGGGAGATGGGGGGGTCAGCCCCCCGCCCGGCCAGCCGCCCCATCCGGGAGGGAGGTGGGGGGGGTCAGCCCCCCGCCCAGCCAGCCGCCCCATCCGGGAGGGAGGTGGGGGGGTCAGCCCCTCGCCCGGCCAGCCACCCCGTCCGGGAGGGAGGTGGGGGGGTCAGCCCCTCGCCCGGCCAGCCACCCCGTCCGGGAGGGAGGTGGGGGGGTCAGCCCCCCGCCCGGCCAGCCGCCCCACCCAGGAGGTGAGGAGCGCCTCTGCCCGGCCGCCCCTACTGGGAAGTAAGGAGCCCCTCTGCCCGGCCACCACCCCGTCTGGGAGGTGTACCCAACAGCTCATTGAGAACGGGCCAGGATGACAATGGCGGTTTTGTGGAATAGAAAGCGGGGAAAGGCGGGGAAAAGATTGAGAAATCGGATGGTTGCCATGTCTGTGTGGAAAGAAGTAGACATGGGAGACTTGTCATTTTGTTCTGTACTAAGAAAAATTCTTCTGCCTTGGGATCCTGTTGATCTGTGACCTTACCCCCCAACCCTGTGCTCTCTGAAACATGTGCTGTGTCCACTCAGGGTTAAATGGATTAAGGGCAGTGCAAGATGTGCTTTGTTAAACAGATGCTTGAAGGCAGCATGCTCGTTAAGAGTCATCACCACTCCCTAATCTCAAGTACCCAGGGACACAAACACTGCGGAAGGCCACAGGGACCTCTGCCTAGGAAAACCAGAGACCTTTGTTCACTTGTTTATCTGCTGACCTTCCTTCCACTATTGTCCTATGACCCTGCCAAATCCCTCTCTGTGAGAAACACCCAAGAATGATCAATAAAAATAAAAATTAAAAAAAAAAAAAGAAAGAAAATTCTCACCATTTCCCTTTTGACTTTTTGCCTTTGTCACAAAGCCTCGTTACACTCAAGGTAGGATTTACATCCCCCATTCAAAGACACCAAAATCCTGCTTTCTGTCCCATGTCTAAAGGACGTGGGCATATCCCTTCAGCAGAAACACTGGATTTCCTTCCCAGTGTTCCTCTCCTTTGACCCTCGCCAACTTCCATCACCTCGCCATCTCCAAACGTTCACTCAGGTCTTCTGCAGGTGAATACTGGAATCAAAGTTTACCTTTCTCTACAATTTGCAACAAAAGAACTGTGCAGGCCAGGTGCAGTGGCTCGCACCTGTCATCCCAGCACTTTGGGAGGCCGAGGTAGAAGGATCACTTGAGGCCAAGAGTTTGAGACCAGCCTGGGAAACATGGCGAAACCCTGTGTCTACAAAAAATACAAAACTCAGCTGGGCATGGTGGTGCACTGCACACCAATGGTCCCAGCTACTCGAGAGGCTGAGATGGGAGGATTGCTCGAGCCCAGGAAGTCGAGGCTGCAGTGAGCCTTGATCTCACTGCACTCCAGCCTGGGCGACACAGGAAGACCCTGTCAAAAAAAAAAAAAAAAAGAGAGAGAGAGAGAACTGTGCAGGAACTACAGAGTATTTAAAGAATCAGAGAGCTGAAAGGGATCCAATCGCTAGTCCTAGGGCTTTCCAACTGTCTTCCTAGGACCCCTTCGAGGGCAGGGTAAAGCAGAGGCTGAGGGTCTCAGCAAATGGCTCCCCAGGGCAGCTGACTTTGCCCTGAGCCACTCTGCATGGTTTTACCTATGGAAAAAGACCCTTCGGAGACTGGCTTCTTCCAGAAAGCTTTAAACTACAGGGCCCAGTCCACCCAGTTTATATATGTGGAGAAGTAACACAAGGCTCCAGCAGATTAAGTGATGGCAGACCAGAAGACGCCACTGGCTCCTGAGCCACCTGCTCTCACACTTTGCTAATCAGCAGCTACCACGTGCCAAAGGCAGTGGGGTAGGGGACTGGCCTTGCCACCGCGACTCTATTATGTTTCAAAGCCATTGGTTTTATTTGCTTCTCTATTGTTCCAGTGATTTGTTTCAAGTAATCATCAAAATACCAACGAAATTGCAGGTTAGCAAATTTTAACGTTATGATGGGCCAAGAGTTGATTGATGGGAAACCAAACAATAGTGTCACACACTTGCTATGAAGCCAACATATAGCACACTTAAATCCCCTTGTTCTGCACTGTGAAAAAGTTTCTGGAAAAAGCAATGAAGAAGGGGAAAAAAACTGAAACTTTGAATGCCTTGGATTAACCACGTGGAAGAGCTAGGAACAGAATTAGATGAGCCACTGAAGAACAGGTAGGTAACCGTTAAAAGATCCCGTTTAGGAAATTATTTCATCATTCTAGGATGCATCACTGTGTGTGTGTCTACTGTGTGCCAGAGGCTACGCTCAACACTGGGGACAGAATAGCACCAGGCAGCAGGCCACATGGGCAGGCACCTTGCTCAGACTAGGCTCCCATCCCAGGCAGGGGAAGCCCAAGCAGCTGCCCCGGATGCTCAAAGGTGGAGTAGGTGCAAGGAGTGGAAGGGGATCTAACTGAGAGACAAGTCCCTCCGTTAAAGAACCATAAGTGTGTGCACTCCAGTAATACTATAAGGGGGCAGAGGGGTCTGAAGGATACTGTTGTGCCCACTTTTTCATGCAGTTGAAGAACTCTGGAGTCAGACTGCTTGGATTCAAATACAGCCTCTACCATGTAATATCTATGGGATCCTGAGTGAGTTTCCAATTTCTTCATCTAGAAAATGGGGTCATAACAGTGTCCTGCTTTATAGCACTGTCACGAGGCTTCAGTGGGGGCTCATTCCTATAAAGAGGCTTAGAGGCAATAAACATTCACTATGATCTCATTCTATCTCCCAAACATCCATATACCCAGCCCCTGGACGGTACCTTACACACAGTAGACAATACGAATTTGCTAAAAAATACCCAAATGATTATTATCTCTAATTTACTGTGAGGAAACAGAAGGCTCAGTGATGAGGGAACGTGACAAAGGTAACAAGGGAAAGGGGACATGCGAGTCCAGCTGGCTCCAAGCCCATGCTCCACACAAACCTACTGCTCTCCTTGCCACCCACCCAGCCCGCGCTCCAATGTGGGAATCCACACAGGGGAGGCGGAGTGGAATCTACCTACAGAGGCAGGCAGAAAGGACGCACATGGCCTGCTTCTAAACTATTCACTGGCCGAGTGTGGTGGCTCACATGTGTGATTCCAGCACTTTGGGAGGCCTAGGCAGGGGGGTCACTTGAGCCCAGGAGTTCAAGAACAGCCTGGGAAACATGGGAAACCCTGTCTCTACAAAAAAATACAAAAATTAGCCAGGCGACTGGCCAAGCGCGGTGGCTCACGCCTGTAATCCTAGCACTTTGGGAGGCAGAGGTGGGTGGATCACAAGGTCAGGAGATCCAGACCATCCTGGCTAACATGGTGAAACCCCGTCTCTACTAAAAATACAAAAAATTAGCCAGGTGTGGTGGCACGCACCTGTAGTCCCAGCTACTCGGGAGGCTGAGGCAGGAGAATCGCTTGAACATGGGAGGCGGAGGTTGCCGTGAGCCGAGATCGCACCACTACACTCCAGCCTGGGCGACAGAGCAAGACTGTCTCAAAAAAAAAAAAAAAAAAAATTAGCCAGGCGTGGTGACACATGCCTGTGGTTCCAGCTACTGGGGAGGCTGAGGTGGGAGGATCACCTGAGCCCAGAGAGGTGGAGGCTGTGGTGAGCTGTGACCATGCCACCGCACTCCAGACTGGATGACAGAGTGAGACCCTGTCTCAAAAATAAATAAATAAGTAAACTATTCATTTAAGTCAGCAGATCTCCATCAATCACAAAAAGAAACAGAGGAAGGGCAATGCACTGAATTCCTGTTTGTAAAGTGCCTTCAGGTAACACAAAGAGCACAATGCCTGTCTGCTGAGATCGCCCTCCAGTGTGAACGCCTCAGCATCTATGGTGGAGGAAAATGAGCTGAGCCACAGGGCTGCTAAGTAAAATTTTACTTGGAATTTCTTTAAGCCTTTCTGCATCAATGGGATCTCACACTTAATCACAAGTGAAGTTCTTTAGATTTTAATTTGTATGAAAAGAAATACCACGTCACACTATTCAAATTAATACTCAGGCTATTCGAAATCATCTCATCCTGCCACATCTCTCTTTAAGGGTATGTAGGATACCATGACCTCGGCTGTCATTCATGTTTCCCCCACAAATTATTTTTAAGGTGGAAGAGACTGCACTAGCTTCCTCACAGCACCTTAAGATTTCAAGAGATCGGCTGGGCGTGGTGGCTCACGCCTGTAATCCCAGCACTTTGGGAGGCCGGGAGCTGGTGGATAACCTGAGGTCGGGAGTTCAAGACCAGGCTGACCAACAAGGAGAAACCCCGTCTCTACTAAAAATACAAAATTAGCCAGGCGTGGTGGCATATGCCTGTAATCCCAGCTACTCGGGAGGCTGAAGCAGGAGAGCCATTTGAACCTGGTAGGCAGAGGTTGCAGTAAGCCAAGATTGTGCCACTACATTCCAGCCTGGGCAACAAGAGTGAAACTGTCTCAAAAAAAAGAGATTTCAAGAGATCAATCGCTCAGAAACACTGATTCATCTCAAGTAGAACTTTAACTTTTCTATATGATTCAACAACTTCAGCATGTCACTACTTGAAATCAATTTTTATATTAGTACTGGCAAAGGTTTAAAACTACATAGGCAGGAGGAATAATTGGCCCTTTGCAAAGCAGAAAAACTTGGAAATGTACAATATGCTTCAAGCTCCCAAATTTTCAGAGTAAAATGAAATTTCCTCCTCCGAATAAGAATGAGACTCTGTGAAAAGAGTATGAACTCCATGGTTGGACCTCCCCTGCCAAGAGAACCTCAATCCAAGTCTACAGGATTCAGCCAAGCCCTTACTTTTAGCTACAGGGGAAAAAAATCCACAAAGTGGAAACATTTTGTCCACATCTCTAAATTAGCATTAGCAGGCGCCAACAAAGCCTTAGCTATGCTTCATTTCTGAGAGTGAAAGAAGGCACTGTCACTAATTGCTCCAGGATAACAGGCAAAAACCGGGACTATTCCATGCAAACCAGACACGTCCTCACCCCACCTATCGGAGGTGGGTGCGACAGGGCTAGGTGCAAGACTTCTGAGTTTACATTTTTACAAAGTTCTGGTCTTTTGAACCATGTAAATGTTTTGTGTGTTTGAAAAATAATAAACTTTTTTTTTTTACACAAGGTTTTGCTCTATCACCCAGGCTGGAGTGCAGTGGTATGATCTTGGATCACTGCAACCTCCATCTCTCAGGCCCAAGCGATTCTCGTGCCTCAGCCTCCTGAGTAGCTGGGACTACAGATGTGCACCACCAAGCCTGGCTAATTTTTTTTATTTTTTGTAGAGATGGGGTTTCACCATGTTGCCCAGGCTGCTCTTGAACACCTGGGCTCAAGTGATGCACCTGCCTCAGCCTCCCGAAGTGTGGGATTACAAGTGTGAGCCACTGCACCTGGCTGAAAAATAATAAACTTTTTAAAAAAATGTGTTTTTGAGAGACAGGGTCTTGCTATGTTAACCAGGCTGGCCTCCAACTCCTGGTCTCAAGCGATCCTCCCACCTCAGCCTCTCAAGTAGCTTGGACTGCAGGTGTGTGCCACCACACCTGGTTTGAAAAAGAATAAACTTGGCTGGGCACAGTGAGCCACGCCTGTAATGCCAACACTTAAAAAGCTGGGGCGTGGTGGCGCATGCCTGTAGTCCCAGCTACTTAAAAAGTTTATAAAATGCAAACTCTGAATTAAGAATAAATAGGAACAAATGAACCTGTTTATCAAATTGGTAATTACTTTGGTTATGTTACAACAAATTGTTTTAAACCCATTACTCTAACTATATATTCTTAAGATGTATTTATTTCTAAAGCCAAAAGAATTGCTAAGGAATCCTAAACTTCATTCGAAGGGTTGTTTGTAAGAACAATGTATTAAAATGCTGAACCCATTTTATGAATATCATAGATAAGGAAAACAATGTTAATATTATTAGAAATCAAAATCATCAGTTTAAGCTGTGTAAATATAAAATAAGGGGAAAAAACTTTTATTTTAAAGAATCAGTATGAAATTGGAGGTTTTTTAATGAACATTTTTTTCTAGCTCTGTCCAATGAAAGGACATAAAAGATGCTACCTTCAGCCAGGCACAGGGGCTCATGCCTGCAATCCCAGCACTTTGGGAGGCCAAGACAGGTGGAGTTCTGAGGTCAGGAGTTCAAAACCAGTCTGGCCAACATGGTGAAACCCCATCAATACTAAAAATACAAAAAAAAATTAGCCAAGCATGGTGGTGTGGGCCTGTAATCCCAGCTACTTGGGAGAGTGAGGCAGGAGAATTGCTTGAACCCGGGAGGCGGAGCTTGCAGTGAGCTGAGATGGCGCCATTGCACCCCAGCCTGGGCGACAGAGCAAGACTCCGTCCCCAAAAAAAAAAAAAAAAACAACCAGATGCTACCCCCGTGACAGTGGCCACACCCAGCCCCAAATGCTGATTTCTAAATGCCACTTCCCACTAAAGGGAACCAGGGCTCCTGAGAGGAATGATTTCAGATCTGAGGCAGGAAAAGTACAAAGTAGGCCTGGGACAAATTTCTGTGCCAGAAAGCAATGAAGCACTCAAGAACTAATGGGGTCTTGGCAAAAAGACACAGGAGCCAATCTGAAAGGGACAATATGAGCATCCAAGGAGTAATGACGACGCCTGACTCTAATATGCAGTGTCCTCAGTGACTGAGAGAGCTGGAAAGTGAACAAAGGAGAACACTCTTCTTCACACAGGAATATCTGTTCATCACTGTACACGGACGGACAGCTGGAAAAATCACCTCTTTGCAACTTCCAGGAAGAAGTGATTTGAGCAGGGAACACCATGGACACTAAAACCATGAGGTTGACGGTCTCCCAGGAACAAGTAATTGCAGAGAAAGAGTCAAAGGAGAGGTCTGCAATCACACCTCAGGCAGTGGCCCCACTTTCTATCACCAAGAAGGAGAGCTCTGGGAATTGTGAGCCTCGAAGGGATACAAAAAGCAGAGGGGAGGCCGGGCGCGGTGGCTGATGCCTGTAATCCCAGCACTTTGGGAGGCCAAGGCGGGCAGATCACAACACCAGGAGTTCAAGACCAGACTGGCCAAGATGGTGAAACCCCATCTCTACTAAAAATGCAAAAATTAGCCGGGCATGGTGGCGGCACCTGTAAGCCTAGCTACTTGGGAGGCTGAGGCAGAGAACTGCTTGAACCCAGGAGGCAGAGGTTGCAGTGAGCCAGATTGTGCCACTGCACTCCAGCCTGGGCGACAGAGCAAGACTCCGTCTCAAAAAAGAAAAAAAAAAAAAAAAGCAGAGGTGAGATGAGGCATGGCTGGAGAGCAAGTGAGAGATGTTGAGCCCCAGCGCAGTGGGACCTATACACACTTAGACTTTAACTCTTATAAACGCCTGAATTTAAAAATCTAACCATACAAGTTGTTAGGGCCAACATCATTATGTAATCCCAGCACTCTGGGAGGCCAAGTAGGAGGATCACTTGAGCCCAGGAGTTCAAGACCAGCCTGGGGCACATAGGGAGACCTCATCTTTACAAAAATAAAACAAAAAATTAGCCAGGTGTGGCGGTACATGCACGTGGTCCCAGCTGCTCAACAGGCTGAAGTGGGAGGACTGCCTGAGCTAGGGAGGCTGAGAATACGGTGAGCTGTGATTGTGTCACTGCGCTCCAGCCTAGGAAACAGAGTGAAACCCCATCTCTAAAAACAAATTTTTTAAAAAACAAAAAAAAAAGGCCGGGTGTAGTGGCTGATGCCTGTAATCTCAACACTTTGGGAGGCTGAGGCAGGAGGATTACTTGAGACCAGGATTGGAGACCAGCCTGGGTAACATAAAGACTCCTGTATCTACTAAAAAAAAAAAAACTTAGCTGAAGTCAAACCACTGCATCAGAATATGGGCATTTTTGAGAATCAGTATACACAGGGCAAAACCGGATCGCTGAAAGAGCTGCACCAAATTACTTGGTTGTAGCTAGAATGAAGTTGGCAAGTAGAAGATAAGAAAGGCCTAATCTCAGACAACGGCTTATTTACAAAGTTGTACAAAAAAAAGGAGTCTGCAAGTGAGGAACTATCCACAACTGGGAGAGCAGGGAGGCGCTGGGCCAGGATGTGATGACACAGGAGTCTTCAGCCCGAGGAGGAATGGAGAGCTCAAGTGTTCTGAGCAAAGGAAAGGCAGCTGTACATGCATTTTAGAAAGATCTTGGCCCGGCGTGGTGGCTCACGCCTGTAATCCCAGCACTCTGGGAGGCTGAGGTGGGCGAATCACTTGAGCTCAAGAGTTCGAGACCAGCCTAGACAACATAGCAAGACCCCTGCTCTACAAAATAATAATAATTACATATATGTATGTGTGTGTGTGTGTGTGTGTGTATGTGCATATATGTGTATATGTATATATATAGTATATGTGTATATATATGTGTATATATATGTGTGTATACACACACAGAAAAAACATTAGCCAACCATAGTGGCGCACACCTGTAGTCCCAGCTTCTTAGAAGGCTGAGGTAGGAGCATTGCTTGAGCCCGATCACACCACTGCACTCCACCTGGGTGATAAAGTGAGACCCTGTCTCAAAAAAAAAAAAAAAAAAAAAGAAAGAAAGAAAGATCTTGCTGCAAAAAGGGATAAGATACTGCAGAGAGGCTCCAGAACAGGGGCCATGGGAGTCAACCCGGTGAAGACAAAGGGTTCGGGTCTGAGAGTCAGTGGGCCTCAGGGGTAACCTCCAAGAGATGGAAAGGTCCATCCCACAGGTCCTGGAGACTAGAAGGATAAGGTTAGCGCAGAAAAGAGATAGGGCCGGGAGCAGTGGCTCACGCCTGTAATCCCAGCACTTTGGGAGGCCAAGAAGGGCAGATCATCAGAGGTCAGGAGTTCAAGACCAGCCTGGCCAACATGGTGAAACCCCGTCTCTACAAAAATACAAAAATTAGCAGGGCGCGGTGGCATGTGCCTGTAGTCCCAGCTACTTGGGACGCTGAGGGAGGAGAATCGCTTGAACCCGGGAGGCAGAGATTGCAGCGAGCTGAGATTGTGCCCTTGTACTCCAGCCTGGGCAACAGGACGAGACTCCATCTCAAAAGAAAAGAAGAGACATAGCCACCTGACTACGTAGAAAACTACCGTTCACAGGATGGGGTACGGATGCGGGGGAAAGATGGTTTGAGCCAATATTGAATTTAAGGAGCCCAAAGCCTGCCCAAATGAAAGTACACAGCATGGCAGTCAGGTAAGGCACCTGCGAGGCACAGTGGCCAAGAGTGGAGGAGTACAGTGGGCAGCTGAAACTCCCAAGGAAAACCACCTCCCTAGTTCTGCCTACACAAACATCAACGAAAAGTGGAAAGTGCTCCCACATTACATCATCCATGCATTTAACTTGCTCAAACCGAACTATGTAAGTTTGGTTTTTTCCATTTCTCTTCATACAACGAAAAAAATGTGGGCTAAATAACCCTTTTTACCTATGGAATATTCAGCACCTAGAACGGTGCATGCCACATACAGACACTCAAAATACCTGAATACATTCATGTATACACTATATACATAAACATTATGTATACTGCATGAAAACAGTATGCATTTATGTATATGATAATTAAAAAGTACACATTGTTCTGTGCCTTATGTGATGGGTGATGTTAAGAGGTTTTTTTTTTTTTTTTGAGACAGAGTCTCACTCTGTCCCCCAGGCTGGAGTGCAGTGGTGCGATCACAGCTCATTGCAACCTCCACCTCCCAGGTTCAAGCGATTCTCCTGCCTCAGACTCCCGAGTAGCTGGGATTACAGCTGCGCACCACCACGCCCAGCTAATTTTTGTATTTTTAGTAGAGACAGGGTTTCACCATGTTGGCCAGGCTGGTCTCGAACTCCTGACCTCGTGATCTGCCCATCTCGGCCTCCCATTACAGGCATGAGCCACCGCACCCGGCAAGAGTTTTTAATTTTTGCTCACAGCACTAACTTTATAGCCCAAACCCATGCACTTGAAGTGGCTCTACTCTAACCAGTGGTTTCCACCCTAGGTCCATTCTTCCCTCCATCCCCAGCTCATTATCCACATAGCATGATCTTTTAAAAACTTGGGAGGCCAAGGAGGGAGGATCACCTGAGGTCAGGAGTTCAAGACCAGCCTGGGCAACGTGGTGAAACTCCCGTCTCTACTAAAGATTAGCCGGGCACGGTGGCGGGCGCCTGTAATCCCAGCTACTTGGGAGGCTGAGGCAGGAGAATCGCTTGAACCTGTGAGGCAGAGGTTGCAGTGAGCCGAGATCATGCCAGTGCACTACAGCTTGGGCAACAGTGTAAGACTCCATCTTAAATAAAGAAATACATAAATAAATAAAAATAAATAAATAACAACGCAGCTAAATCACATCATTCCCTCCCCTGAGGCCACGATGCACGCAAAGTACTGAAGCCCTAAGGTACTTAAAACAAAAACAAGCAAGTCTTCACCTCTGTCTGATCCCATCCCAACCTACCTAGCCAACCTTACCATGTTCACTCTTCCCTTCCCTCCAGGCCAAGTAACCATGGCCACAGACCCCAGCTTTGACTCAGCTAAATGCTAAGCTCTCCCTTGCTCTGGCCTTTGCTCAAGTAGCCCCACCGCCAAGAAAGCTCTCATACCTGGTTCCTCTTAGCCTTCATCCCTCAGCTCTAAGCCAATCCCCTCGAAAGCCTCACCTTTCTGGACCACAGTGTGCCTGGCAGCCCACCCCACTCAGTCGAGATCATGGATTTCTTCTGAACCACTTCATTCTATCTGGATGTGTCTCGCAACCTGCACCTGCTTTGAGCATGGGTATATTGTGAAAGTCTTCTGCAGGCAGAGACCCTGTCTCTACCACTGACTGCAGGAGCCTAGAACGGTAATATTCACACAGGGCTCAACAAAATAGGAGGAAGGACTCTGTCTCCTTGCTGACAATTAAAGGTGTAGGAACAGGAAGACAAGATGGCAAATTCAGTGTGTGCAAAAGAGAGATGTAAATGGCCAAATATTATTCTGAAAGGATATATTCAACTATTTCATACACCAAAGACGATGAAAACAAGTATGGTATTTTAAGAGGTGTTTTGCCAACTACTACTAAGAAACAGTCAGTAAAGCAGATGAGGGGGCACCATCTGAAGGGGCAGTCATTAGTATTTATTCTCAGGGAAGAGTCATTTAGCTAGTTTTACCTTATTCCAATTCTTCCTAATTTGTTCACTAAAGTTAAGCTTAGCAAGTACCTTGTTTGCAGCACTCAACAAATTACAGTTGTAGCCAATTTTGCATCATATTAGGTTGAAGCAAAAATAATTGCGGTTTTTGCCATTAAAAGTAAAGCAAAATCCGCAAGTACTTTTGCACCAACCTAACAGCAATACTTGAGAAAAGCTTCTGATTCTTTATACCTAAACCTGGACACTTCCAACATTTGGGGCCAGATAATTCTTTGTTGAGGGGGCTCCACTGCAGAATGTTTAGGAGCATCCCTGCCCTAGCTGTGACAACCACAAATACCTCTCAACACCACCAAACACCAGCGTCTCCTCTTTACTCTCCCCCACCCCCGTCCCCCTTCTCCCCGCAAGCTTGACCCTGGTATCTGCCACTCGGCTGTCATCCTCTAGTCCTACACAATTCCGCCAGGTTGTTCTTTTCTACTGCCCTCTGCCCTCGGATTCTAGCATCCTAGTTTGGGCTGTAACACTTCATGCCCACATTGCAGGAACTGCCTCCTAAATGGGCTGTCTTGCACCCTCTCGCCTCCTCAATCCATCCAGCACACCTTCCACTGCAACCAGCTGAAGCTCACCCATCACTTTGACAGGGAACACCCCTGACACAGGTAGACTTCTTTTTCACTAAGTTTGGATTTGATTTGAAGACCTCATTCCTTAGAATCTTCTGAGTTTTGTACCCCCTGCTTCAGGGATTGGCAGATTGGGAGAGAGACTGGCAAAATTTGGGACCTCACCTGCAATGAAAGGTGAACAGTCTCTCTTCTAGGTTTCACACAAAAGAGTTCTTCAAGCAAGAGGTCTTCTAAAAATCTCATTTGTTGCTTTCAAAAAGACTGTAAAAATCACTGCACTCCAGTTTAAAATAAAATCTCCATTTGAAAATGCAACTGAAACTTTAAAATGAAATTAGAGAGAAGCCCAAAGGCAATATTTGCTTTAAAAAAAAAAAAAAGCACTCGGTCAGTCGGTCAGGCATGATGGCTCATGCCTGTAATCCCAGCACTGTGGGAGGCTGAGGCGGGCAGATCACCTGAGGTCAGAAGTTCAAGACTAGCCTGACCAACATGGTGAAACCCCGTCTCTACTAAAAATACAAAAATCAGCCGGGCATGGTGATGCACGCCTATGGTCCCAGCTACTCAGGAGGCTGAGGCAAGAGAATCGCTTGAACCTGGGACATGGAGGTTGCAGTGAGCTGAGATCGCACCATTGCACTCCAGCCTGGGCGACAAGAGCAAAATTCCTTCTTAAAAAAAAAAAAAAAAAAAAAAAGCCAGGCACGGTGGCTCACGCCTGTAATCCCAGCACTTTGGGAGGCCAAGGCATGCAGTGGATCATGAGGTCAGGAGATCGCGACCATTCTGGCTAACATGGTGAAACCCTGTCTCTACTAAAAATACAAAACAAAAACTAGCTGGATGTAGTGGCGGGCACCTGTAGTCCCAGCTACTGGGGAGGCTGAGGCAGAAGAATGGTGTGAACCCAGGGGGTGGAGCTTGCAGTGAGCCGAGATCACGCCACTGCACTCCAGCCTGGGTGACAGAGCAAGACTCCATCTCAAAAAAAAAAAAAAAAAAAAAAAAAAAATCAGCACTCAAAAAGGAAACATACATGGGATCAAGTCATAGAATAAACATTAGGTAGCTGGGCACACTGGTTCATGCCTGTAGTGGTAGCTACTCAGGAAGCCAAGGCAGAAGGATGGCTTGAGCCCTGGAGTTGGAGATCAGCCTAGGCAACACAGCAAGACCCCATCTCCAAAGTAAGACTAAACACCACGCACACAACCTCTCCTACCTCCCTAGCCTCCTTCTTTGCCACTGCCAGATATGTCATCACAAACCCTCCCTCGGTCTGACACAGGGCATGGGGAAGAGTAGAGACTACAGCAGGGTGGAACAGCCCACACAGTGGCCAAGACGGGAATTGGAGGCCAAGGGCTGTGTCTCCCGCTGGGCAGGCCACTTGCTCTACTGTCTTTAAGTGGTTAAGTGACTGGGCAGGGGCAAATGGGGGATTCTGATTAGAAACTGGACAATGTCATGAGAAGCAGACTGGAAAAAAAAAAAAGAAACTGGACAAGGTAGCCTAAGCGAGGTGAGTGGGTTCTGTATGCTCCCTATCAAGTAATGATAACCAATGTCTCCAGACTCCGCATATGCTGCAGACAGAGAGAGCACGCCCGCTTCAGCTCCAGTTTCAGTGATACGCGGGGTGGCCTGTAGCCCGGCAACCCACCAAAAACTAGAAAAGGTGAGTATGACTTGAAAGTCTGCAGGCATCAAAGAGATGCCAAGGCAGCCACAAATGAAGGGACCAACATTCCAAACCAAAGAGAGGCCCACTGAGGTGAGTCCACTATTCAGAGCCCCCACTCTTTCTGTCAGTGCATTTGACAATTTGGAAGGATTTGGGGGCAGTACACTGATAACTGGGAAGAAAACTCAGCAGAAAGTAGAGGCTACAGAGCTCTAGAAAGCCCCAAGGGTCTGGGGAGACAAAAAGAAGTACAGGCCTGACAGTCAGCCAGGACTTAAGGGGCCAAGATCCCAGAGAAAAGGGAGACACAGGAAATGAGCCCAACACTCTGCAAACCTGGCCGAGAAGCTGGGCTTTCAGTAGTCTCATGGCGTTAAGGAGACAAAACTTGGGCTCCAGGACACGCCAAGAAAGAGGGGCCCTGGGAAACACTCCAGGGTTTCAGATGGAACCCCCGGATGGTTACACCAGGAGCAGGAGGTTGGGGGAAGGCAGCTTCAACTGACGCTTACTGACTGAATCCCAGCCTCTGGTCACCCAGGCCCTGACTGAGCTGAGATGATCTGTCCCTACTCTGGGCATGTGCCAGATGACAGAGGGAAACTTTCTGAAGGAAGACAGCATCACCCAGCGCTTTCTACAGTTTTTCATACATAATGTCTGACTCAATTAAAAAAACAAAAATGGGCGTTATCAACAAATGAACCTAGAGAAAAAAGAAAAACAGAAATGGATCCGGAGGTGACCCATATAATAGAGTTATCAGATGCAAATGTCAACTATTCAAAAATATACTTGACAAAAGGAAAAAATTTCACTAGAGAACTAGAATAGTAAAAGGAATTAAGCAGACTCTAGAACTGAAAATTATAACTGAAATTAAGAACTCAATCTATGGGCTAAACAGCAGATTGGACACAAATGAAGAGGGGATGAGTGAGGTGGAAGATGGGTCAGTAAAAAAAATCTGGACTTTAGATTTTGGGCACAATAGCTCACACCTGTAATCCCAGTGCTTTGACATGTCAAGGTAGGAGGCTCACTTGAGGTCAGGAGTTTAAGAACAGCTTGGGCAAAATAGCAAGACCCTGCCTCTACAAAAAATTTAAAAATTAGCTGGGCACAGTGGCACATACCTATAGTCCCAGCTACTCAGAAGGCTGAGGCAGAAGGATTGCTTGAGCCCTGGAGTTTGAGGCTGCAGTGAACAGTGATCACGCGCGCCACTGCACTGCAGCCTCGGCAACAACAGGGTGCCTGTCTTTTTCTTTTTCCCCGAGACGGAGTTTCGCTCTTGCCACCCAGGCTGGAGTGCAATGGCGTGATCTTGGCTCACTGCAACCTCCGTCTCCCAGGTTCAAGTGAGTCTCCTGCCTCAGCCTCCCAAGTAGCTGGGATTACAGGCATGTGCCACCATGCCCGGCTATTTTTTGTATTTTTAGTAGAGACAGGGTTTCACCATGTTGGCCAGGCTGGTCTCGAACTCCTGACTTCAAGTGATTCACCCACCTTGGCCTCCCAAAGTGCTGGGATTACAGGCGTGAGCCACTGCACCCAGCCACCTGTCTCTTAAAAATTTTTATATACATATATATTTATATATATATATGTATGTACGTATATATATATACACACATATATACACACATGCTAGCTCATGCCTGTAATCCCAACACTTTCGGAGACTGAGGCAAGTGGATCACTTAAGTCCAGGAGTTTGAGACCAGTCTGTGCAACATGGCAAAACCCCACCTCCACTGAAAATACAGAAATTAGCCAGGTGTGGTGGCACGCACCTGTAGTCCCTGCTACTCAGGAGCTGAGGTGGGAGGATCGCTTGAGCCCAGAAGGCAGATGCTGCAGTGAGCTGAGACTGCACCACTACACTACAGCCTGGGCAACAGAGCGAGACCCTGTCCCAAAAATATACACACACACACATCCCCCACACACACACAGGCCGGACACGGTGGCTCACGCCTGTAGTCCCAACAGTTTAGGAGGCCAAGGCAGGAAGACTGCTTGAGCCCAAGAGTTCAAGACCACCCTGGGCAACAGAGAGACCCAGTCTCTAAAAACTAAATACACACACACACACACACACACACACACACACACACACACCTAGACACATACACAGAAAAGGTCTAGAAAATACGGAAAGGAGCACAAGAGACACATAGGACATGATAAAAGCCTAATGTATATCACACCATTGCACTCCAACTTGGGCAACAATAGCGAAACTCCATCTCAAAAAAAAAAAAAATGCCTAATGTACACAAAAATGGAGGCCCTCTGAGTGAAGATGAGTGGAAAATAGGAATATTTATAGAGAGAAGAGCCAAAACTTCCAAAATTGATTAGGAACCAGGCCACCAATACAACAAATACCAAGTTTTGCTAATGCCTGAAGCAAAGAAAATGTTACAAGCCACCAGAGGCAGCTTCAAATCCTGGTGTGAGGAATGAGTAGATGGTGAGATCTTGCTGTGTGTCTGATTAGTCCTTTCTCTGCCTTGCCTGTTTGAGCTTCAGCAGAATTGAAAATGGCTGGCAGTAAGGCTGGGAAGGACTCCAGAAAGGCCAACAAAGGCAGCTTCCCACTCACAAGAGAGCCAATTTGCAGTTCCTGGTGGGCCGTATTCACTGACACCTGAAATCTAGGACAATCAGTCCTGGACGTGTGGGCGCGACTGCCGCTGTGAATAGCACAGCCATCCTGGAGTACCTCACCGCAGAGGTACTTGAACTGGCAAGAAATGCGTCAAAAGACTTCACAGTAAAGCATACTACCCCTCATTACTTGCAACTTGCCATTCGTGGAGATAAAGAATTGGGCTCTCTCTTCAAGTCTACAATTGCTGGTAAAGGTGTCATTCCACACATCCACAAATCTCTAATTGGGAAGAAAGGACAACAGCAGACTGTCTAAAGGCTGCCTGGATTCCTTATTATCTCAGGACCCTAAACACTCTACCAGCTGTCCAGTGTGGCTGATTCCAGTGAACTATATCTCTGTGAAAAACACAATTCTGCCTTTCTGTAATTCTACTTGAGCAAGTTGGAAGTTTAATTAGCTTTCCAACCAACAAATTTCTACATTCAAGTCTTAACCATATTTGTTACTGTGGCTTCAAAGAAGCTATTGATTCTGAAGTAGTGGGTTTTGATTGAGTTGACTGTTTTCAAAAAACTGTTTGGATTTTAATTGTGATGGAGAGTTATAGTAACAAACATTTGGTTTTGCACAAACATTATTTCCACTCTGGTGGATAAACTCAGTAAAAGTCATATCCTCTCCAAAAAATAAAAATAAAAAGCAACCAGAGGGGAAAATAAAAAGAAGTATTACTTCAAATGGGACAACAATAACACCAAAAGCTGACTTGTCAAGAAAAAGGAAGCGAGCTAAAAAAACAATGAATTCGCTGCTACAAAATGGTGCAAGGAAATGACCACGATCCCAGTATTCTATACCCAGCAAAATCATCCTTCAAAACTGAAGGCAAATTGGGCACAGTGGCTCACACCTGTAATCCCAGCAGTTTGGGAGGCTGAGGCAGGCAGCTGCTTGAGCCAATGAGTTTGACCCCAGCCTGGCAAACATGGTGAAACATCACATTTAAAAAAAAAAAGGCCAGGCATGGTGGCTCACGCCTGTAATCCCAGCACTTTGGGAGGCTGACGAGGGCAGATCACCAGGTCAACAGATAGAGACCATCCTGGCCAACATGGTGAAACACCTTCTCTACTAAAAATACAAAAATTAGCTGGGCGTGGTGGCACGTGCTTGTAGTTCCAGCTACTCGGGCGGCTGAGGCAGGAGAATTGCTTGAACCCGGGAGGCGGTGGTTGCAGTGAGCCAAGATCACATCACTGCACTCCAGACCGGCGACAGAGCGAGACTCCATCTTAAAAAACAAAACAAAACAAAACAAAACAAAAACTAAAGGCAAAATAGAAAATTTTCAGGCAAACAAAAATGACAATTCATTATCCACAGATATGAACTCAAAGAAATACCGTAGAAAGTTCTTCAGGGAAAAGAAATATAGGCTGGGCGCAGTGGCTCACATCTGTAATCCCAGCACTTTGGAGGCTGAAGCAGGCAGATCACTTGAGGTCAGGAGCTTGAGACCAGCCTGGCCAACATGGTGAAACCCAGTCTCTACTAAAAATACAACAATTAGCCGGATGTGGTGGCATATGCCTATAGTCCCAGCTACTCAGAAGGCTGAGGCAAGAAAATCGCTCAAACATGGGAGATGGAGGTTGCAGTGCGCCAAGATCGTGCCACTGCACTTCAGCCTGGGCAACAGAGCGAGACTCTGTCTCAAAAAAGAAAAAAAGAAAAAAAAAAAACAAGAAATATAATCCCCGGCAGAAACATGAAACAACAATAAAGAATGAAGAGCAACAAAAATGGTAACTAAGAGGATAAATCTAAATAAACATTAACTGTACAAAATAATTATGATACTGCAAAAGTATATCTAAAATTAAAGTACATAAACTTGTAAGATGCAGCTAAAAGCGTGTAGTGGCTCACGCCTGGATCCCATTGTTTTGGGAGGCTAAGGGGGGAGGATCACCTGAGGCCAGGAGTTGAAGACCAGCTGGGGCAATACAGCAAGACGCTGTCTCTATTTTTAAAAATAAATATAAATTAAACTGAAATATATAAAACAATGACACAAAAGGTAGGAGGGAGTTAAATCCAGTTCAAGTATCTAAGGACTTGACCCTGGGAGACACAATGAGACTGTGCCTGGAAAAAAAAAAATATATATATATATATATATATATCTCAATCAAACAAAAAAAAAGCAAAAAAAAAAAAGTAGAAATTAATGCAATAGAAAACAAATGTAAGTAGAAAAAAATGTAAAGCCGAAAGTTGGTCCCTTAAAAGAACTTACAAAATTGACAAACCCCCAACAAGACTGATTAAGAGATAATATATGAATTACTGATATCAAGAATTATTAAAAGGGAACATCACTACAGATCTTGCAGATAATAAGGATTACAAACCACTTTAAACTTACAAATTGGAAAGTCTGGGTGGCCTGAACAAATCTCTAGCGGGGAAAAATGCTTTATCTAAATAGACACATGAAGAAATATTCAAAATCCTACATCTACCTATAAAATTAATTCTAAAATTTTTCCTTCTCACAAGGAAAACCCTGTACCAGCTGGTTTTGCCAAAGAATTATTTCAAACATTTAAGGAAGAAAACACAAATTTCGTAGGAACTCTTCTAGGGAGTAGAAAAAGAAGGAATACATTCCACCTTGTTTTAAGAAACCAGCATAACCTTGATACCAAATCCCAACAAGGGTACTGAAGGAAACTGAAATTATAAGTCAATCTTTCTCGTGAATATAAATGCAATAATCCTAAACAAAATACTACCAAATATAATCCAGTAAAAGGAGAATACATCAAGATCAGGTTGGAATTATTCTACAATTGTAAATTTTTTTTAAAAGGGAGGTGCTCTTTCTCAGGAGCTCCTGAAGTTGCTTCCCCAGGCTACAAACAATATGCAATTAAAAAAAAAAAAAAAAGCAAGGCGCAGTGGCGTGCGTCTATAATTCCAACTACTTGAGAGGCTGAGGTGGGAAGATCACTTTAGCCCAGGAGTTCAAGGCTACAGCGAGCTATGATGGTGCCACTGCACTCCGGGCTGGGTAATGGAGCAAGACCCCATCTCAAAAATAAACAAACAAAAACAGTTAAATTCCCACATAACAGAAAAATCACATGACTGTCTCAAAAGATGCAGAAAATCCATGTTAAGAAATTTAATACCTGCTCATGGTTTTTAAAAAACTCTTGGCAAACTAAGAAGAGGAGAATTTTTACATTTTGATAAAGAATATCTACAGGGCCAGGTGTGGTGGCTCACAGTGGTAATCCCAGCACTTTGGGAGACCAAGGTGAGAGGATCGCTTGACACCAGGAGTTGGAGACTAGTCTGGGCAACCGAGTGAGTACCCTTTTCTTAAATTACCAGATCTCAAGACAGACTATATCTATGGGAATTTAGACATTGTGCTATTTGTGCAAAGATGACAAAAAGATCAAAGGAGCAGAAGAGAGTCCAGAAACAGACCCACACACTTACAGTCACTGGACTGAGATGACACTGCATGTAGTACACTGGGGAAAGAATAGTCTTTTAAGAAATTATGCAAGGTCAACTAGATATCCATTTAAAAAAAGAAAGAGAGACTCTTGGCCCCATCGCATACCATAAACAAAGTCAATTTCAGATGGAAGATTAAAAAATAGTTTTTAGAAGACAATGTAGAATATCTCATGAACTTGACCAAGCAAATTTCTTAAACAGGACACAAAGAGCATTAAACATTACTGAAAAGATGGATCAACTGGGCTACATTAAAAATTTTACACTTCTATGTATCAAAAGATACAACTGAGAGAGTGAAAAGGCAAACACAAGAGTCTAAAAACAATCTGTCATGCACATATGTACTCAGAATATAGAGAAAACTCCTTCAAATCAGTAAAAAACAAAACAGACAACCCAATCAACAGATGGGCAAAAGATAACCGTTTCACAAAAGACATCCAGGTGGCCAGTGAACACAGGTAGAGATGCTTTACCTCTGCATGTTCCTGGCCATCAGGGAGCAGCAAATTCAGACCATACTGAGCCACCTACCAGCTAACAGCCACCAGAACAGCTAAAATGTAAAGACCCAACAATACCAAGTGCTGAAGAGCATAGGAGCAACTGACTTCTCATACATTGCTGGGGTAGTACAAACTGTCACAACCACCACTTTTGGCACTCTCTACTGAGGCTGAACAAATGCACACACCATCATTTGCATTCCACTTCTTTGTAGAAATCCAACAGAAGTGTACACATATCCTCCGGCCTGGGCAACATGGTAAAACCCCACCTCTACAAAAAATACAAAAATTAGCGGAGGGTGGTGATGCGTGCCTGTATTCCCAGCTACTTGGGAGGCTGAGGCAGGAGAATCGCTTCAACCTGGGAGGTGGAGGCTACAGTGAGCCGAGATCATGCCACTGCACTCCAGCCTGGGCAACAGAGTGAGACCCTATCTCAAAAAAAAAAAAGTTTATAGACATCTGCACCAAAAAACAAACAATATTAGGGGAGCACGTGTAAAAACTGGAAACAACCCCAAATGTCTGTGAGCAGTAGAAAGAATAAGTTCTGTCTGTTCGTGCACGGGATGACCAGAGAGCAGGTGAGAATGAGCAAGCTGCATCTCACAAACATGATGCTGACGACAGAATGAAGAAGCAAAACATACAGATTATTTTACTTCACTTAAACAAAGTCAAGAACAGGCAAAAGTAATCAATGGTGAAAGGTCAAGACCTTGGTTAGCTCTGGGGGACAACTACTGGGAATAGTTAGGAGGGGACTTCTAGGAAGCCTGATAATGTTCCATTTCTTGATCTGGGTGGTGGTATGCAAGTGTGTTAACTTTGTGAAAAGTCCACTGAGATGTATACTTACGATTTGTGAATTTTTCTGCTGTATGCTATAGTTATGTATATTTTTAAGTACACTCTAACTTGCCTCCACAATGTGCCAGGAGCACAAATGCACTTCCTGGACTCATTATCTGGTCACACTACCAGCCACCAAAGATGAACCAGATGCCAGGAAAGGGAAGGGTCCAAAACAAGTTTACTTAATAGTTTCCATTTTTGAAAGGCTGGAATCAGGTGCTCAGGTGGTAACGTGAACCGTTGGCATCATCATGTTATCCACTGAACTAGGCATTCCCAGGCTGCTACACTGAGCAGTGCCAGAAACAAATCACTGAGCAACCATGTCACCAGTGTGTGTGACAACCTCCACAGCCTGCGACTAACTGTACAAAACTCCTGTCACTTCCCTGACATGTCTTGTGTGCCCATTCTTTCCAAAACCTACCTTATTAAGTATATTAGTATTTGATATACACTTCAATACGTGTACCTTAAATTACAAATACAATAAAATCCTGGTAAAACATAAATTGGCTACTTCTTTTAAAATTGTAGTAATAAAATTCAACATAAATAAACTTGGTAATTTATAAGATTGAAATAAGAAAAATCTTAATGATTCTTTAATCCAACAAAAAAGGAACATAGAGCGCTAACGTCAAATTATTGTTGCTAAAAAGGAAACCCACGTTTGGCTTATCAATCTTTCAGGAGAACTGACTACAGCCAAGAAACACATTAAGGCTAGTACTTATTCATTTACTAATTTATCACTGCAGACCCATCATGCGAGTATAAATGTGTGCTTATGCGGGTCTACCTGAATGCACCCCAAAGGCACTTATGATGAGTAACGTGGCGCCTAGACAGCTCTGAAACACATAAATAACCCACTTCTCTCCCACTATGCCCCGTGCCACTCACCTTACACTCTTCTAGTTTTTACTTTCTCCCTTTACCTACCATTAAGTAAATCCTCATTCAACTCCATGAGCAAAGTCTTTCAAACACTGGTCCAAATGTAACATACTCAGAGAAACAATTTCAGTTGTTCTAAGCTTTAAAAATCTTTTTTTTTTTTGAGACAGGCTGGAGAGCAGTGGTGCAATCTTGGCTCACTGCAACCTCCACCTCCCGGGTTCAAGTGATTCTCATGCCTCAGCCTCTGAGTAGCTGGGACTACAGATGCGCGCTACCACGCTCTGCTAATTTTTGTATTTTTGGTAGAGACAGGGTTTTGCCATGTTGGCCAGGCTGGTCTCAAACTCCTGACCTCAGGTGATCCGCCTGCCTCAGCCTCCCAGAGTGCTGGGATTACAGGCATGAGCCACCACACCCGGCCTAAGCTTTAAAATTCTCATCTGCCAAGGAAAAAGTTCCTAAGGAATCAATCTCGAGTCTTCTATCCCCTAAAACAAATGTGACTTACAAAACCTAGATGTTCTGATAAAGGTGGGCTATCAAAATAATTTTTTTTTTCCGTGAAATCAATCCTATTTGTCTATTAAATTACATTAGGAAATTAGAAATACATGAGATAATCCATGGGAAGTACAAGTTTAGCCAGAAAAGGCTTAAGACAACAGAATGGAGGCACCAAATAGATTGGTTGCTTCAGAGCCCTTTTTCAAAAACTCTGGAGAACTTCCTGAACCTAGGCAGTTCCCAAAGATAGGAATGAAAATAATGAGGTATTTTCACATGACTTTAGAGTACAACGATTTGTTCTCCCTAAGAAGTTTAATCCCTAGGAACTTTGTATTTGACTTACAAACACCAGAAACTATCATTTCACAAATCGTTACGGAAAATACTCATCTGAAACATTAACAAAAGATGACACTAATAAAAAAACATTTAGTGGAGAAAAATCTATAGTTTCAGGTTAAAAGCACTCATACCTGTGGAAGTGCCGTGTTGAGCTGTCTCTGCAAGGAATCTCTTTCATGACCAACCTCGTGTAACTTCCCCTGGGTTAAGGCCAGCGTTTCTTGAGTCTCTCTCAGTGTATCAAGAAGGCGGTCCCTTTCTTCTAGCATGGAGACCATCAACTGTTCAAAATGTGAATCTGCATCTGGCTGTGAAGGGGAGCCGGAACCATGGCCTCCACCTCCTCCAGGGGGGCCTTCTGCTTCGCTGATGGTCGGCATCACCTCGCACATCATCTTGAAATGAAAGACCCAGGCTACAGTAATTAAGCTCAGAATACAGGTTCCCACAAATATGCAACTTTACAGGTATCTGTAGCTAAAAAGATGGGCAGTCTCATTATGCTCAGATCTGTTATGCTTTGTGTGTAAATAAGCTGGGAAAACATACACAGGGCAAATATTAAGTGCAAAAATACACAACATGAAGACATTAACACAGACAAAAATCCAGGGAAGGGGTCAAGATCCCAAAGGACTACCCTCACAAAAAAGGGCAAGCCCTGGGGTAGTC
The DNA here is from genome assembly GCF_000001405.40 of Homo sapiens. Lineage (NCBI taxonomy): Eukaryota > Metazoa > Chordata > Mammalia > Primates > Hominidae > Homo > Homo sapiens. The sequence goes on along the minus strand of NW_021160005.1, from coordinate 27,716 downwards.
TGTTTGCAAAGCTGTACTTGTTTTTGCTGAAAACAAGTGTGCTTCTGTTACCTATTTTTTTTACTTCCCAGTGGGGTGGGGAGGGTGGGGGGGTAGGGGGGGAGAAAGTCAAAACACATGTCACCCAATCATTTTTCAGGAAAAGCACAGAAGGAGCATACAACCAGCAAAACTGACAAGTACAAAATCCATCAGGCATCTTGCAGGAATGTGTGCAGTCAGCTCCCGGGAAGAACTGACGGCTCCCTGAATTCTTGGGCTGGATTTGGTGAGCACTAAAAGGAACCGGATTCGTTAAACGCTGGTAGAAGTGTTTTCCAATGGCTGCAACGGTTGGTCAACCTAACTTACGTAAGTTTACAACCGAAAAAAAAAATCCACAATGGAAATATAGCAGGTCGATACAGCCGGGGGCGGCTAGGAAAGAGGGAAAAGTGAAAGGTGAGATTACGAGAGTCTATTAAGTGTCTGGGATATAAAGACAGCGCCAGGGAAAGGGGAAGTCGCTTCTGAGCCTTTCGGGCAGTACTGGGGGCGCGGTGGACCCCTGAGAGGGGGATGCCCCAGACGGCGCACCTGATGGGGATGGTGACCTCCAGCCTGCTCGAGCCGCACTCCTCCCCTCCTGTATCAGGTGCGGCGGAAGCCCCGAACCCCGGGGGGTGAGGACCGTTGACAACGGAGCCCGCTCGGGCCAGGGCTTTCAGCGGCCACAGGTCCCCGCCCCTCGCCCCAGCGCCCGGGTCACGGGGCGCGGGGCTCGGGGAGGGGCAGCGCGCAGTCCCCGGAGCCGTCCCTTGGGGCGCGGGTGTCCCGCCGGAGCTCTCCCAGCGCGACCCGGCGCCGCGGCCTCGCCCCCACCCGTCCCGGAGCGCACCCTTCCCCGCGGAGACATCTAATCGGCTGCGTGGCCGCCGCGGAGACCGGGACGCGCCGGTGACGCCTGGGCCCCGAGCCTGCCTCAGTGTCCCGCTCCCTTACCTTGCTCGCCGGCGGGAGCGGGCGAGGAGGCTCCGCGGCGGCTCGCGGGCGGCTGCTCGCTCCGGGAGAGCTTGGGAGCCGACGAAAGCAGCCCGCGGCCGGCGTCCGCCTGCCCGCCCCACGCCGCGGCCCCGGGGCCCGCCGCCCCAGTCACTAAGGCCGGCCCGCGGCCGGACACTGGCGGAGCGGAGGAGGAGCGGGCCCGGCTGCGCGGCGCCGGCGTCTACGTGCCCGACGTCGAGCGCGTCGGCGCGAGCGTCAGCACCGCCCCGGGGGCGGGGCCCGAGGAGCACCTTGGCCCGAGTACGCAAGCGCTGTCTCCTCAGGAGGGGGCGGGAGGCGGCCCCGGGGCACTGATTGGCTGAGCGAGACGGGAGCCACGCCCCCCAGGCCCCGCCCGGGTCGCGGGGGAGGGGGCGGTCTCCGGGATGAGCCACAGGTGGGCGCTCAGGTGCTCGCCGGGTCAGCGTCTTCCTCCGGGCGTCCCCAGTTTCCCCCCACGGCTGCAGGGACGCCGGAGGCCTTTGCTGAGTGTCTACCGCGCCTCGAGTTCTGAGCTGGACGCGTCCGGCACGTCAGGTCCCTCCCGAGCTGGAGGCTCTGGATTCGCACCTTGCAGAAGAGCGAACCGAGGCTTCAGTCACCACCGAGGACCCAGACCCCGCCCGCCGCGGCGCCCCTACGGTCTCCCTGGGCCTGATCTGGGTTCAGAAGGACGGAGTTCCCGCCAGGACCCACTTACGGAGCGCTGCCTGCCGCACCTGGGGACGTCCCGGCGCAGCGTCCAGAGTGCAGGCTTTGCCGCTGTGGCTTTCACTCTGCAGCGTGGGCCCGGGCGACTCGGGAAACCCGCCTGGGCTTCAGCGCCTCCGATGTAGGATGGGAAAATGATGCAGACCTACCTGCGAGGCTGCTTTAAGACATGAATCAGATGTGAAGAGCGACTAGTTGAGAGCCTGACGGGCAGCACTGCGCGAGTCTTGGTCATTTCATCTTTTCCGCAAGTTTTTTTTTTTTTCCAGACGTTGTTTCACTCTTGTCACCCAGGCTGGAGTGCAATGGCGCCATCTCGGCTCACTGCAACCTCTGCCTCCCGGGTTCAAGTGATTCTCCTGCCTCAACCTCCCGTGTAGCTGGGATTACAGGCGCACGCCACCAAGTCCAGATAATTTTGTATTTTTAGTAGAGACGGGATTTCTACATGTTGGTCGAGCTGGTCTCGAACTCCTGACCTCAGGTGGTCTGCCCGCCTCAGCCTCCCAAAGTGTTGGGATTACAGGCGTGAGCCACTGCGCCCGGCCTCAGCAAGAATTTTTAAACATCTACTATGGGCCAAGTCTTGTGCTAGATGTTGCAGATACGGAGATGAATAGAGACACCTCTAATTAATTAAAGCGGATGCCCTCCCCACTCCTCCCAGGATTTGACTCGGAGCACAAACTCTTCACAAACCAAAATGTCAGGACACCATCGCCAGTGTCCACTGGCCACTGCTGTTGGTGTGAGGCAGCCAGGAGCCCCTCAGAACTAGTAAGTCTGAGAAGAGGCTGCACGGGGCCTAGGAGAGGGAGAAATGAGCCCGTCCAAGGTGAATTCCTTGATTCTCCATTGTGAGTGCACCAAGAACAAGCACTCCCTCCGACTGACTCTCGCCTACCAGGATCTGGAACACCTTCCATTAATTTATTCGTTCATTCAATAAATATTTATTGACTGACTACACATAGATATGAATATGTACTTTTTGCCCCTAGTTTCTTGCTATTTTAAAAGTGTAAAAATGGCCAGGTGAGGCCGGGTGCGGTGGCTCAAGCCTGTAATCCCAGCACTTTGGGAGACCCAGGTGGGCAGATCACTTGAGGTCAGGAGTTCAAAACCAGCCTGGCCAACATGGTGAAACCCTATCCCTACTAAAAATACAAAAATTAGCCGGGTGTGGTGGCGGGCATCTGTAATCCCAGCTACTCAGGAGGCTGAGGTGGAAGAATAGCTTGAACCTGGGAGGTGGAGGTTGCAATGAGGAGATCATGCCACTGCGCTCCAGGCTGGGAGACAAAGCGAGGCTCTGTCTCAGAAAAAAAAAAAAAAAAAAAACATTGGCCAGGTGCAGTGGCTCACGTCTGTAATCCCAGCACGCTGGGGGGCCAACGTGGGAGGATTGCTTGAGCCTGGGCAATATATCGAGACCCATGTCTATACAAAAAATTAAAAATTAGTCCAGCAAGGTGGGCCACACCTGTAGTCCCAGGTACTTGGGGGATTGAGGTGGGAGGATCGCTTGAGCCTGAGAGGTCGAGGCTGCAGTGAGCTGTGATTGTGCCACTGCATTCCAGCCTGGGTGCCAAAGCGAGACTCTGTCTCAAAAATAATAAAATTGTAAAGTTGATCGCTTAGATGAGGTGTTCTGCAAGTACCCTGTACCTCTCCACACCCCAGCAATTCTGCACAACTCCCAAGTTCCCCTGAACCACTGTCTGAAACCAGCAAATTTCCAGCTCTCCTTAGGGGTACCTGCTTAATGCAGCCAGCTTATGTTTGCACCATGCTCATAAAGTGTCTGTTTTCTAAGAAATCGGCTCAAGGCCGGGCGCAGTGGCTCACGCCTGTAATCCCAGCACTCTGGGAGGCCGAGGTAGGCGGATCACGAGTTCAGGAGATCGAGACCATCCTGGCTAACACAGTGAAACCCTGTCTCTACTAAAAATACAAAAAATTAGCCGGGCGTGGTGGCAGGCGCCTGTAGTCCCAGCTACTCGGGAGGCTGAGGCAGGAGAATGGCGTGAACCCGGGAGACGGAGCTTGCAGCGAGCCGAGATCGCGCCACTGCACTCCAGCCTGGGCAACAAAGCGAGACTCCATCTCAAAAAAAAAAAAAAAAAGAAAAATCGGCTCAAGATCAAAATTTAGTTCGGCAGGGTAGAATGTTCATTCATTTCATGAATATTTGTGCAGCATGTATGAGCCAAGCATGGCTTAGGTCTTGGGAACGCAGAGCTAAGACATCACTTCTAGTATGAGTTCACAGTCTGGAGAAAGAGAAGAAAAACAGACTATTGCAATGTCTGTCCCGTAAACAGTGTGTGACTTGGTGCTGTGGAATCACAGGGAAGGGAGGAACCCGCTCTCCAGCTGGCATCATGGGGGCTTCATAGAGGAGGCAATATCTGAGCTGGGTCTTGAATGATGTGGGATTTTTCCAGCGGAGAAGGGAGACACCCAGTTGGTATAGCTCCAGGAAAATGAGAATTCTGAATTTCATTTTATTTCTTTCTTTTCTTTCTTTTTCCTTCCTTCCTTGCTTCCTTCCTTCCTTCCTTCCTTCCTTCCTCCCTTCCTTCCTTCCTTCCTTCCTTCCTTCCTCTCTCTCTCTCCCTCCCTCCCCTCCCCTTACCCTTCCTTTGTTCTTTTTCTCTCTCTTTTTTTTTTTTTTTTTGAGACAGGGTCTCATGTAGTCACCTAGGCTGGGATATAGTGGTTCGAACACAGTTTACTGCAGCCTCTACCTCCCAGGCCCATCAGTCATCTCACCTCAGCTCCCCAACAAGTAGCTGGGACTACCAGCGCAGACCACCATGCCTGGCTAACTTTTTTGTATTTTTGGTAGAAAAGAGGTTTCACCATGTTGCCCAGGATGGTCTCAAACTCCTGAGCCCAAGCAATCCTCCCACCTCACCCTCCCAAAGTGCTGGAATTACAGGCATGAGCCACCACTCATGGCCCTCATTCATTTTAATTCATTTATTATTTCATTCCCCCAGATCGCAAAATCAGTAAGGGGGAAATCGTAAACAACCTAAATGGCCAAGAAAACAAGATTGGTTAAATTATTGCACTTCCAAATGACAGAAAACTTGGTGACATTCACAGTCATTTTTTTTGAGACTGAATCTTGCCCCGTCGCCCAGGCTGGAGTGCAGTGGGGTGATCTCGGCTCACTGCAGCCTCCGCCTCCTGGGGTTCCAGAGATTCTCCTGCCTCAGCTTCCTGGGTAGCTGGGATTACAGGCACACCTGGCTAATTTTTGTATTTTTAGTAGAGACTGGGTTTCACCATGTTGGACAGGCTGGTTTCGAACTCCTGACCTCAGGTGATCCATCCACCTCAGCCTCCCAAAGTGCTAGGATTACAGGTGTGAGCCACCGCACCTGGCCCACAGTCATATTTTAGATAACTACATATATCATGATTGTGGTGGTAGTTACATTACTATATACGTTTGTCAAATAACTGTACATTAATATGTAGAGTATGCCTTAATTTTTATACATAAACAAAAACTTTTTTAAAAAAGCAAATTCAAACAAGTATACAGAGTGTGAACCCCAATTTGAAAAAGAAAACAGTCTGTGTTTAGATTAAGAATGTATTATGTAAAATTTACCTTGTAGATGAATAACTCTAGAATGTTAAGGTGATACATTTTTAATAAAATGAGTTTTATATGACATGAACTATTCTTGAAATGAGAAATTAAATTTTAAGTTTCAAATTATGAAAGAAAAACATATGTCTACATAAGAAAATATTGTTACTGTAGTCAATTAGTTCTTTATCTTTCCCCACTTCCCGCATATATATATGTATATATTCTTGGAAGGAGATCCATCAGAATGTTCGCGGTGGTTATCTTTAAGTGGGATTGTGGTTGGAAGCTGCATTTCTTTCATTTTGCTAGTCTTTATTTTCTAGATACTTTATCATGAATGTGCGTCATTATTATAATCAATAGGAAAACCTCCAATAAATGTTCATTAAAATTCAATCTGGACAAGTGAGAACCATGGAGAACTGCTTTCAGGAAGCTAACATGACTTTCAGATGGATTTACTCATACCACCCAGCTAAACTACTTCCCAGAAGTATTTATCTGGAAAACATTTCTCAGAGCTTGGGTGACATGCTGTCACCCAAGGCTCTGTCAGGAAAACAGTGAAGATGGAAAATGTTTTCACTCCAGTTCTTCTGTAAAAGACTTGATAAAGAAATTATGATAGAAGGAGTGAGGAGGGAGCAGAGAATTTATCACTACTCCTGGGGTTTCATGTTTGCAAATGTGGCTGCGGTGGAGGTCAGCCAGCCTCTGCTCTCTAGAAGGTGCCTGGATGATGCAGTTAGTTGTCAACCATGAGCATCACTCAGGACACCTCTCCACTCCAGAGATGTAAGCGGCTTAAGAAGGAGGTTCCTGCGGGGATCGTTGTGGTCTGACCTCAATCATAGAGATCAGGATGTGCCCAAATCTACCCAGAACATGTAAAGCCACCTAATGAATGAGTGCTGTGACAACACAGTTCAGGGGGAGGTCTGAGCTGGAGGAGCCCTAGGGCAGTAGATGGTGGAGGATGTGGTCGTTCCTTTAAGAGAAGGGAGCTGAAACCCAGAGATGCAAAACAGATTTCCCTGTAGACACTCAGAGAGTTTGGGGCAGAGCTGGAGGTGGAGCCTTGAGTGAACCCAGGGCTCTCAATTCCCCGTCCTGTCCCCACGTCGTTGTGATCAAGGAGTGGCCTCTTTAAGGAACAACTGAAGAGAAAACATTTTACCAGTTGGTCTGCAGTGCAGCCGAAATAATTCAATTCCCAGGGCCAAGAGCTACCATTTTACTTATTCATCTCATTTCATTCTTTTTTTTTTCCGAGATGAAGTCTCACTCTGTCGCCCAGGATGGAATGCAGTGGCACGATCTCAGCTCACTGCAACCTCTGCCTCCCAGGTTCAAATGATTCTCCTGCCTCAGCCTCCTGAGTAGCTGGGATTACAGGCATGCGCCACCACGCCCAGCTAATTTTTGTATCTTTAGTAGAGACAAGGTTTCACCATATTGGTCAGGCTGCTCTCAAACTCCTGACCTCAGATGATCCACCCACCTCGGCCTCCCAAAGTGCTGGGATTACAGGTGTGAGCCACCGCCCCTGGCCACCATTTCATTCTTAAAATAGTTCTCCAGGGCTGGGAGGCGGAGGTTGCAATGAGCCAAGATGGTGCCACTGCACTCCAGCCTGGGCGACAGAGTGAGACTCCATCTCAAAAAAAAAAAAAAAATAGTTCTCCCCATGGCTATGCCTGTATTCTTTCCATTTTGCAGATGAGAAAACTGAGCCCCTAGTGGCCATAAGCTGGGGAGATCATTGGCCTGAGTGTTCTGGTTTCCATGGCAGTTCGATGCCTCATGGTAAACCGATTAATTAAAAATTGGTCCATTGGCCAGGCGCGGTGGCTCACGCCTGTAATCCTAGCACTTCGGGAGGCTGAGGCGGGTGGATCACTTGAGGTCAGGATTTTGAGACCAGACTGGCCAACATGGCATAACACGGTCTCTACAAAAAAAATACAAAAATTAATCAAGCGTGGTAACACTCGCCTGTAATCCCAGTACTTGGGAGGCTGAGAGGCACAAGAATCGCTTGAACCCGGGACGCGGAGGTTGCAGTGAACCGAGATTGTGCTACTGCACTCCAGCCTGGGCGACAGAGTGAGACTTCATCTCTAAAAAAAAAAAAGAAAGAAAATTGGTCCATCAGTGACTATGACTTGGTTTGTTCAGGTCAGTCCGAAGAGCACGGACACGGACACCTCTGGATGAAGTGATAATAAGAAAATTACAGAGCATTTTACAATTTCCAGAGCATTTTACAAAAAATCTTTAACCCATCTAACTCCCCAAATCCTCACAAGTATATCCTGCATCCTTTTACAGTTGAAAATACTGAGACCTAGAAGGATTAGATAACATACCCCACACCCCACAGTTTATGATTTGGTAAAAACAGTGACTTGAGCTCAAAACTCTCTGGCTCCAAAGCCAATGTTCCTGCTGCTACATCAAAAGTTATCTCCAGGCCCCCAAAGCAGGAGTCAAACCCTTCCACCAGGGGTGGGACACCAAGGTACTGAGCCCTGGTCTCTGTATCTGTCTTCCTGATCCATCTTGTCTGAAATCGTCTCCATTGCCCCTATCCCAACGCCAGGTATAGGGAGGTTCCCAATCCTTTGGGCATCTCCTGGCTGCCTGCTTGGACATGAAGACTTTAGTCTCATTCATAATATAATGTATGTGTATAATTATATTTCAAAGGGAAGTCAAGCATTTTGCACCTTGCTTCTCTTGACAACCTCATTGTGTTCATCAAACAGAGCCACCTAATAAAAATGTCCCGCTGTTATAGGGAGAAGAGCCCAGACAGAGGTAGTCCAACTCTCAGAGGTCTCAGCTGCACTCCCAGCTCTTTACCTTGCCCTGGGGCAAGGCACTAACCTCTACTAAGCCTCACTCTCCTCATCTGTCAAATGGGGATAATAACACCCACAGACCACCCTGCGATATTCGCTGAGGAACTCTTACGGCTGGAAATGAGAGTTGACTGCAGCAGCCCCCCCCAGCTGGTCCCCTGCCTGGTCACCGTGCCCTCTTTGAAGACACTCTGCACAGTGGGTGTGGATGCCGACCCTGGAGACAGGTAGCTTGTGTCAGATTTGGCTCTGCTTCTTTGCCGTAGCTGTGTACTCCTAGGTAAGCTGCTTGGCCTCTCTGGGCCAAATGTCCTCATTTGTAAAGCAAAGATGGTAGCACCACCTCATAGGATTGCCGTGAGGGTTGAGTTGGGAAGCGCCATATGAACAGTATTATCACTGGTGGAAGTCTTTTATATTTGCGCCATGCCCGTCCCCACAGCATGAATCAGGCTTGGACCAACTCTGCTAGCATCTTCTTCCCCTTTGCCCCTGACAAGCTAGAGTCCTGTTCTCATCTGTGACACATAAGGGAAAGTGTGCGGAGACTCCTGGGACTTCCCTCTCTGAAGAAAGAGAGAGCAGAAGAAAGCCCCATGGCCTCTGTCCTTGAGGACTGGGACTGGGGACTGTGGCAGCTGCTGTGAGACCATAAGGAAAGATTCTGCCCACTGTGCTTCCAGGAAATTCCTTCCCACCATCTCACAGGAAATCGGTCCCTTTCCCAATCCTGAATAACAAGAAAAATCAGTCAATAAGGCTGAGTACAGTGGCTCATGCCTGTAATCCCAGCACTTTGGGAGGCCAAGGTGAGCGGATCACCTGAGGTCAGGCCTGGCCAACATGGTGAAACCCCGTCTCTACTAAAAATACAAAAAATTAGCCAGGCGTGGTGGCAGTCACCAGTAGTCCCCACTACTCAGGAGGCTGAGGCAGGAGAATCCCTTGAACCTGGGAGGCAGAGGTTGCAGTGAGCCGAGATCACGCCATTGCACTGTAGCCAGGCAACAAAAGCAAAACTTCATCTCAAAAAAAAAAAAAAAAAAAAAAAAAAAAAGCAAGCCCGGGCGCGGTGGCTCACGCCTGTAATCCCAGCACTTTGGGAGGCCGAGGCGGGCGGATCACGAGGTCAGGAGATCGAGACCATCCTGGCTAACACGGTGAAACCCTGTCTCTACTAAAAATACAAAAAATTAGCCGGGCAAGGTGGCAGGTGCCTGTAGTCCCAGCTACTCAGGAGGCCAAGGCAGGAGAATGGCGTGAACCCCGGGGGGTGGAGCCTGCAGTGAGCCGAGATCGCACCACTGCACTCCAGCCTGGGCGACAGAGTGAGACTCGGTCTCAAAAAAAAAAAAAAAAAAAATCAGTTGATAGATGGGAAAAAAAGGGAAGAGTAGGATTCCCACAGGAGAAACAAACTTAACATAGAGGGAGGTTACCAGCTCTAAGGAATGCACTGATGTCAAGCCAAAAGCTAGGGCAGGGCTGGGCATGGTGGCTTATGCCTGTAATCCCAGCACTTTGGGAGGCCGAGGCAGGCGGATAAGGAGGTCAGCAGTTTGAGACCAGCCTGGCCAACATGGTGAAACCCCGTTTCTACTAAAAATACAAAAAATTAACCAGGTGTGGTGGCAGGCACCTATAATCCCAGCTACTCAGGAGGCTGAGGCAGGAGAATCACTTGAACCCAGGAGGCGGAGGTTGCAGTGAGCCGAGATAGCGCCATTGCACTCCAGCCCGGGCGACACTGCAAGACTCCGTCTCAAAAAAAAAAGCTAGGGCAGGCTGGGCACAGTGGCTCATGCTTATTATCTCAGTACTTTGGGAGGCTGAGACGGGTGGATCACCTGAGGTCAGGAGTTCGAGATCAGCCTGGTCAACATGCCCCGTCTCTACAAAAAATACAAAAAATAGCCTGGTGTGATGGCACATGCCTGTAATCCCAGCTACTTGGGAGGCTGAGGCAGGAGAATCACTTGAACCCAGAAGGCAGAGATTGCAGCGAACTGAAATCACACCACTGCGCTCCAGCCTGGGCAACAGAGCAAGACTCTGTCTCAAAAAAAAAAAAAAAAAAAAAAAAAAAAAAAAAAAAAAAAAAAAAAAAAAAAACAGAAGAAGTAATCATGCCACTGCACTCTGGTCTGGGCAATAGAGTGAGACCCCGTCTCCAAAAAAAAAAAAGCTAGAGTAGGAAGCGCTGACACGTGGAGCTGAAGGTTAAGGTCAACATTCCAACATTCCTAGAACTGGGACAGAAGTATGTGGGAGAGAACCAGTCCATCTTGCCTGTGGCTGTGCCCTGTTGTGTATGCCTGCCCTGGCCCCTGCCTCTGCCAAATGGTGAGTTATTCTTGAAAATAAATGTTGTTGAGTTTACACACATAGTGTATTTTATCCAAATCCTATGAGTGGTATTCTAAGAAATAAGCAGCTAAGTCCTCAAACCGGCAACTTCAACGTGTGATTTTGAATATTAGCACTGTGAACCTTGCTAACAGATCTCAATGTTCGTGTTATTTGAATCCTACCCAGTGTATTTGCTGGCATTCCAGAGTCTGAGTATTCACTGTGGGCTATAGTTTTTTTGTGAAGCAGATGAAATAGTTTCACCATTAAAAAAGTAATCTGGGCCAGGTGCAGTGGCTCATGCTTGTAATTCCAGCACTTTGGGAGGCCAAGGCGGGCGGATGGCTTGAGCCCAGGAGTTTGAGACCAGCCTGAGCAACATGGTGAAACCCCATCTCTACTAAAAATACAAAAACATAGCTGGGTGTGGTGGGTGCACGCTTGTAGTCCCAGCTACTCAGGAGGCCGAGGTGGGAGGATCACCTGAGCCCAGGAGGTTGTGCCTGCAGTGAGTGGTGATCGTGCCACTGCACTCCAGCCTGGCTGACAGAGTGAGATCCTGTCTCAGAAAAAATAAAATTAAAAAAAAAATAAAAAGTAACCTTACGGATGAGTATCAAAGGCATTATGCCCAGTGAACTAAGTCAAGCACAAAGGGTAAACACCGTGTGATTCCACTTACCTGAGGTCCCAGAGTAGTCAAATCCATAAAGACAGACAGTAGAATGGTGCATGCCAGGGGCTGGGGGAAGGGAAATGGGGAGATACTATTTAATGGGCACAGAGTTCCAGTTTTGCAAGATGAAAAATTCTGGAGACTGCCGGGCGCAGTGGCTCATGCCTGTGATCCCAGCACTTTGGGAGGCCTAGGCGGGTGGATCACCTGAGGTCAGGAGTTCGAGACCAGCCTGACCAACATAAAGAAACCCTGTCTCTCCTAAAAATACAAAATTAGCCAGGCGTGGTGGCGCATGCCTGTAATCCCAGCTACCCGGGAGGCTGAGGCAAGAGAATCGCTTGAACCCAGAAGGCAGAGGTTGCGGTGACCCGAGTCTTACCATTGCACTCCAGCCTAGGTGACAGAGTGAAACTCCATCTCAAAAAAAAAAAAGAAAAGAAAAGAAAAGAAAAATCCTGGAGATGGATGGTGGTGATGGTTGCACGCAGTGAAACACTGAGAAAGTACTTAATGCCACTGCACTGTGCACTCAGAAGTGGTTAAGATGGTAAATTTTGTGTTATGTGTATTTTACCACAAAATTAAAAAACAAAAAACAAACAAAAAATCTCTATCGGTGAGGGCAACATAGTGAGACCCTGTTTTACAAAAAAATTTAAAAACGAAGGCCAGGTGTGGTGGCTCACGCTTATAATCCCAGCACTAATGGAGGCCGAAGTGAGTGGATTACTTGAGGTCAGGAGTTCAAGACCAGCCTGGCCAACATGGCCAAACTCCTTCTCTACTATAAATACAAAAATTAGCTGGGTGTGGTGGTGCACACCTATAATTCCAGCTACTCGGGAGGTTGAGGCAGGAGAATGGCGTGCACCCAGGAGGCAGAGCTTGCAGTGAGCCGAGATGGCGCCACTGCACTCCAGCCTGGGCGACAGAGCAAGACTCTGTCTCAAAATAAATAAATAAATAAATAAAAATAATAAAAAATGAGGCCAGGTGTGGTGGCTTACACCTGTAATCCCAGCACTTTGGGAGGCCAAGGTGGGCAGATCACCTGAGGTCAGGAGTTCAAGACCAGCCCGGCTAATATATGGCAAAACCCCATCTCTACTAAAAATACAAAAATCAGCCAGGCATGGTGACAAGTGTCTGTGATCCCAGCTATTAGGGAGCCTGAGGCAGGAAAATTGCTTGAACCCAGGAGGTGGAGGTTGCAGCAAGCCGAGATTGCACCACTGCACTCCAGCCTGGGTGACAGAACGAGACTTCATCTCAAAAAAAAAAAAAAAAAAAAAATGAGCTGAGCATGGTGGCATGAGCCTATAGTCCCAGCCACTCTAGAGACTGAGGTGGGAGGATCACTTGAGCCTAGGAGCCTGAGGTTGCAGTGACCTGTGATTGCACCACTGCCCTCCAGCCTGGGTGACAAAGCAAGACCTTGTCTCAAACAAACAACCCTATACTCTTCCTGTTGCCCAACTTGAGGATGCTTTTGGGCACAGTCCTAAGAAATTTTTCCACAACTGGAATATTTATGATGAAACAAAGATCAAGATTATGAGATAGGACAATTAAGCTTTTAAATGTTGGATATTTGTGGAATTATTCTAAGATTTTAAAAATTAATTTGACATTTATTGTTTACTAATATTCTTTTCTTTTAATTTTTTTATTATCAAATATCTGTATCAGATGGAGGTTTTTTATGTTATTAAAATATGTAATACTGGCTGGGCGCAGTGGCTCATGCCTGTAATCCCAGCACTTTGGGAGGCCAAGGCGGGCAGATCTCTTGAGGCCGGGAGTTGAACACCAGCCTGGCCAACATAGTGAAAACCTGACTTTACTAAAAATACAAAAATTAGCCAGGAGTGGTGGTGCATTACTGTAGTCCCAGCTATTTCAGAGGCTGAGGCAGGAGAATCATTTGAACTCAGGAGGCAGAGGTTGCAGTGAGCCGAGAACATGCCACTACATTCCAGCCTGGAGACTCTGTCTCAAAAAAAAAAAAAAACAATATTGTCAAAATATATTGGTTTATAATAAGAACCATGCACTTCAGATTTTTAAAAATTTTTTTACAGAAAACCTCTGAACCTGCTTATTATGGTCACCCATTCTTTACAAGCAAGTAAACACAATGTTTTTAATAAATACAAAATAACTTAGGGTTTGGGGAATTCTGATATCTCATGCCCATATCTTTTTTTTTTTCCACATCTGCAAAAGATTTATTTTTTAAAGAAATGGATTCTGAGACAAAACAACATGGGGCAGAAGTATGGAATCGAAAATTGGGCTGGGCACGGTTGCTCACGCCTATAATCCCACCACTTTGGGAGGCCAAGGCGGGTGGATCACCTGAGGTCAGGAGCTTGAGACCAGCCTGGCCAACATGGTGAAACCTATCTCTACTAAAAATACAAAAATTACCCAGGCGTGGTGGCGCGTGCCTGTAATCCCAGCTACTCGGGAGTCTGAGGCAGGAGAATTGCTTGAACCCAGGAGGCAGAGGTTGCAGTGAGCCAAGATCATGCCACTGCACTCCAGCTTGGGGAACAGAGTGAGACTTCATCTCAAAAATAAATAAATAAATAAATAAATAAATAAAATAAAATAAAATAAATATGAATGTAAGCTGTTTCGCTAATTTTTTTGTGTGTTTTTTTTTTTGTTTTGTTTTTTGACACAGAGTCTTGCTCTGTCACCCAGGCTGGAGTCAGTGGCGCGATCTCAGCTCACTGCAACCTCCGCCTCCTGGGTTCAAGTGATTCTCCTGCCTCAGTCTCCAGAGTAGCTGGGACTACAGGTGCACGCCACCACGCCCGGCTAATTTTTGTATCTTTAGTAGAGATTGGGTTTCACCATGTTGGCCAGGATGGTCTCAATCTTTTGACCTTGTGATCTGCCCGCCTCGGCCTCCCAAGGTGCTGGGATTACAGGCATGAGCCACCGTGCCTGGCCCACTAATTGTTTTATAACCACAACCAACTAGTACGAAGAATGCCCTGAACAAAACACAGTCAAGGGGCTGGGTGCGGTGGCTCATGCCTGTAATCCCAGCACTTTGGGAGGCTGAGGCAGGCGGATCACTAGATCAAGAGATCGAGACCATCCTGGCCAACATGGTGAAACCCCATCTCTACTAAAAACACAAAACTTAGCCAGGCATGGTGGAGCGCGCCTGGTCCCAGCTACTTGGGAGGCTGAGGCAGGAGAATCACTTGAACCCGGGAGGCAGAGATTGCAGTGAGCCAAGATTGCGCCACTGCACTCCAGCCCAGCAACAGAGCAAAACTCCATCTCAGAGCAAAACTCCGTCTCAAAAACAAACAAACAAACAAACAAAAAAACAACAACAAAAAACCCAACAACACAGTCAAGACTCAAAGATCAAGGTGTTCCCTTAGTACAACCTGGCATTTAGAATTCAGGCTGTGTCCTTGTTTTTGAATGACATTCTCGAGTCTTGAAGATTAATATCTGTTGGGAATTTGGAAACCGTGTCTGCTAATGTGCTAAGGAAAGACTACTGGAAGGCTTGTGCCCACTGGGAGCTGCCCCCTAGCAGGCTTGTTAAGTGAATAGTAAACACCTGTGTCTGTGTTGGGCACCTTCTGTTAGTTGAGTGTTTGATGCTGTAGGCAATAGCATAGCAGTACAACCACAAAAGCTCTTTCCTTTCTTCCTAGCAGTTTCTTTCTTTCTTTCTTTTTTTTTTTTGGTAGAGAGAGATTGGGAGTGGGGACAAGGAACAGGGAGAGTGGTGGTGGTGGGGGCCTCACTATGTTGCCCAGACTGATCTCGAACTCAAGCGATCCTCCCACCTTAGCCTCCCAAAGTGCTGAGATTACAGGTATGAGCCATTGTGCCCAACAAGTGATGCTTTTTCTTTTTATTTATTTAATACCAGCTAACTTGACAGATGAGACACTTCTTAAAATACCTTTTTTTTTTTTTGAGACGGAGTTTTGCTCTTTCACCCAGGCTGGAGTGAAGCGGCGCGATCTCGGCTCACTGCAACCTCCGCACCCCCCACCCCCACACTCCTGGGTTCAAGTGATTCTCCTGCCTCAGCCTCCCAAGTAGCTGGGATTAGAGGCGTCCACCACCACACCCAGCTAATTTTTGTATTTTTAGTAGAGATGGGGTTTCGCCATGTTGACCACGCTGGTCTCGAACTCCTGACCTCAGGTGATCCACCCACCTCAGCATCCCAAATTGCGAGGATTACAGGCGTGAGCCACAGTTCCTGTCTTCTTTTTTCTTTTTTAAATGTTTTTTTATATATTTTTTTTTTTTGAGATGGCTCACTCTGTTGTACAGGCTGGAGTGCAATGGCATGATCACAACTCACTGCAGCCTTGGCCTCCTGGACTCAAGGGATCCTCCCTCCTCAACCTCCCGAGTAGCTAGGACTAACGGCATGTGCCACTGGGCTGGGCTTATTTTTTTTTATTTTTTGTAGAGATGGGGTCTCCCTATGTGGCCCAGGCTGGTTTTGAACTCCTGGGCTCAAGGGATCTTCCTACTTCAACCTCCCTAAGTGCTGGGATTATAGGCGTGAGCCACCACACCTGGCCAATGACACTTCTTAAAATTACTTTTTTTTTTTTTTTTAGTATGTATAGAGAGGATGTGACAACTGTTAGATGTTGTAATTTTATTCATTCATTCATCCAACAGACATTCTGGTGTGGAGCCACTTTATGCCAGGCACCGGGCCAGGTGCTGAGAGTACATCAATAAATCAAGACATCATAACACACAGTCTTGACGGCTAAACAGATGAAGAAGTAAAAAATATGTAAATCAAGACATCAGAACGCATAGTCTCGGTGGCTAAACAGATGAAGAAGCAAAAAATGTGTAATCTGGTTTGAAAAGTGGTGTGTGCTGCAGGTAGTGACAGCTCTTTAAAGGGGTGCATGTTAATTGGATCTGCGAAATGGAGGCCACAGAGTTGAGCTTGCCCTGCGGCTGTGAGCTCCGATCAGTCTTCCTAAGAAGGGAGGGCCCTCCAGCTCCTCCCATCACATGGGAAACACGATGAGCTGCTCCCAAAAGAAATCAGAGAGGCAGACAAACTCACAGGGGACTAACTACAGATGGGGTGGCTTCAACAGACGATTATCCTCACACATTCTGGAAGCTGAAGTCCGAGATCATGGCGTGGAAAGGTTGGTTTCTCTCTCCCTGGATGGCCGACTTTTCCTTGTGTCCTCACATGACTGTCCCTCTGTGCATGTCTGTGTCCTAATCTCCTCTTCTGATAAGGACACCAGTCATATGGGATATGGGATTAGGACCCACCCTAACAGGCTCATTTGAATTTAATCACCTCTGTAAAGACCCCATTTCTAAATACAGTTGATTTCCGGGGTACTGGGGGTTAGAACGTCAACATCGGAATTGGAGAAAGTGGGGGCACAGTTCAGGCCGTAACAGCCCACCTCGACGGCGTCCTTGGCCATCTCTGGTGAGACTCATGGGACTCCTCCCCCACCTTCAGCATCAGCGCCTGGATACCACATTTCCATTTTCCAGGCGAGACAGCTGACAAGGGTAAAGCAGAACCGCCAGGGATGAGACTCAAAGATCCCAGAATACATTTTACCCTATCGAGACCCTCATTTTAAAAATGAAACTGAGGCCGGGCACGGTGGCTCACGCCTGTAATCCCAGCACTTTGGGAGGCCGAGGTGGGCGGATCACAAGATCAGGAGATTGAGACCATCCTGGCTAACACGGTGAAACCCTGTCTCTACTAGAAATACAAAAAATTAGCCGAGTGTGGTGGCGGGCACCTGTAGTCCCAGCTACTCAAGAGGCTGAGACAGGAGAATGGCGTGAACCCAGGAGGCAGAGCTTGCAGTGAGCTGAGATTGTGCCACTGCACTCCAACCTGGGTGAGGAGCCAGACTCCGTCTCAAAAAAAAAGAAAAAAAAAAGAAAGACACTGAGGAGGCCGGGTGCAGGGGCTCAACGCCTGTAATCCCAACTCTTCCAGAGGCCGAGGTGGGTGGATCACCTGAGGTCAGGAATTCAAGACCAGCCTGGCCAACATGGTGGAAGCCCATCTCTACTAAAAATACAAAAAATTAGCCAGGCATGGTAGCACACGCCTGTAGTCCCAGCTACTCGGGAGACTGAGGCAAGAGAATTGCTGGAATCTGGGAGGCAGAGGTTGCAGTGAGCCGAGATCACACCACTGCACTCTTGCCTGGGCGACAGAGCAAGATTCTATCTCAAAAAAATAATAATAATAAAAATAAAACCGAGAACACCCCAGTTGGGAGTAGTTTCTTGGGCTAAATGATCCCCCCACACACACTTTTTCAGTTTGAGAGCAGTCACTGTTTATTAAATGACCAGATTACAAAAATAATCATGGCAAACCTGTCTCTACTAAAAATACAAAAATCAGCCGGGCGTGGTGGCAGATGCCTATAATCCCAGCTACTCGGGAGGGTGAGGCAGGAGAATCGCTTGAATCCAGAGGCAGAGGTTGCAGTGAGCTGAGATTGCACCATCCCACTCCAGCCTGGGGGACAAGAGCGAGACTTCGTCTCAAAAATAATAACAATAATAATCATGGCAGACACTTTAATTCACCCGTCTGATAAGCCTGCTGATCTGGCCTTCCCTGTTGACAGCAGCTCCACCTTCTGTAACATGGATGGGCTTTTTCTTCATCCACCTCGTGAAAAGGATAATTTGAAGGGCCATGATGGGAGATTACTTGCTCCTTTTTGGTTTTTTTTGTTTGTTTTTTGAGATGGAGCCTTGCTCTGTCACCCAGTCTGGAGTGCAGTAGTGCGATCTCAGCTCACTGCAACTTCCGCCTCCCAGGTTCAAGTGATTCTCCTGCCTCAGCCTCTCGAGTAGCTGGGATTACAGGCACCCACCACCACACCTGGCTAATTTTTGTATTTTTTGTAGAGATGGGGTTTCATCATGTTGGCCAAGCTGGTCTTGAACTCCTGACCTCAGGTGATCCACCCACCTCAGCCTCCCAGAGTGCTGGGATTACAGGCATGAGCCACTGCGCCCAGCCTTTATTTGCTTCCTTGAAGCGTTTTCCAATGATATAGATCTCACGAATCAGATTCTCTGCAGATGATGCCATATTTCCCGAGAGACCGAGCAATCGCAGTGTTATCTGTCAGGGTAAATCCCTATTTTCACATGATATTTTTCACTGTCATGCCTTAAAGATTACTGGAGAGTCATTCCCTTACGCCATATGTGTCATTTTTGTTGTTGTTTTGAGGCAGAGTCTTGCTCTGTCACCCGGGCTGGTGTGCAGTGGTGCAATGATGGCTCACTGCAGCCTTGAACTCCTGGGCTCAAGCAATCCTCCCATCTCAGCCTCCCAAGTAGCTGGGACCAGGGGCACATGCCACCGCACCCAGCTAATTTTTGTATTTTTAGTGGAAACGGGGTTTCACCCTGTTGCCCAGGCTGGTCTCAAACTCCTGGGCTCAAGCGATGCACCTGTCTCGGCCTCCCAAAGTGCTGGGGTTACAGGCGTGAGCCACTGCGCCCGGCTGGAGTTGTAGGTTGTTAGCCACAGTTTGCTTTCACATGTAGCGGGTATCGGGTTCTTGATCCTGGCTGTTGTCTTTCCACGGCCTTGTGTTCACACTGTGTTCGGAAAGGAAGCTGTGGTCTTACAGGTCTTCACACATCAGTGCTTTATGTGCGCCTTACAGATCTTCACGGATCTGTGCTTTATGTTGCAGGAGGTCAGTAGGTTTAGGTTGGTTGGGTCTCTTCAAATGTGAAAAGTCCCCACATATCAGCCAGGCACAGGGGCTCACACCTGTAATTCCAGCATTTTGGGAGGCTGAGGCAGGCAGATCACCTGAGGTGAAGAGTTTGAGATCAGCCTGGCTAATATGGTGAAACTCCATCTCTACTAAAAATACAAAAATTAGCTGGGCTTGCTGGCGGGCACCTGTAATCCCACCTACTCGGGAGGCTGAGGTTGGGGAATCGCTTGAACGCCGGAGGCAGAGATTGCAGTGAGCGGAGATTGTGCCATTGTACTCCAGCCTGGGCGACACAGTGAAACTATGTCTCAAAAAAAAAAAAAAAAACAGAAAAAGTCACCACATATCAAGGAAACGTGTCCCATGAATGGGGCCTTAAGAGCCTGCTCTTTCATGCTGCATGAGTCCCCTGGCCCCCAGCCCGCCCTCCTCATCTCCCCTCAACCCAACGGCCTAGGACCCCACTGATGCCTCAGGGCCTGGAAGCCTCTCCCGCCACACCTTCTCCTGGTCCTGGGATGGCGAAATGACTGCTCACAATGTGGCCAGGATGGATGGAGGACATCATATTGTTCCTCTAGCCCAGTATTCTGAGAACCCGCTGGCTGTGATTCAGAATAAAGGAGAAATGAGGCCTGTTTCTTGGGCAGTGGAGGTGGGGATTTTTTTTTCTTTTTAATTTGGATTGAAGTTTTTAGCTGTGAGTAATGGTTGGCTTGTGCCAGAGAAGGCGGCACCTGTGCACAAGGATGGAGCCCAGAAGGCCTGAGCCTGGGGTTTAGGAGCCGCTGGGAGAGGCGGAGCTGCAGAAAGGAGCCACGGAGCTCCTGGGAGAGTGGGGCCCGCGTCGTCTCAAGCCAGCAGCCAACACCACCCCCGAGATGGCTCCAGCTGGGACACAAAAGGAACCCATGGTTGTGCCGGGAAGTGTTGCCACAGCAGATTTCCAAGAACTGATTCTCAAAGAGAAGCCAGGCAGGGCTCCCAGCCCTGGCTCTGGGAACGCACAGACTGGGGGCTCCTAAACCCCTGAGCGCCACAGCCTCCCCGGGGAAGCCGGACCCTGTTAGCTCGTTGCACTCGATGGCTCCAGGCTTTTCACATGGGCGGAATGGAATGAACACGTGTGGGAATCATGACGAGGATTCCCAAGCCGCTTCCCAACATGGTAAAGTTGTAGGGTAGAACATTCCCACTGCAGACAAAGGCGTTCCTCACCCAAGCCTGAGCACACAGATGGTTAGAAATAGCCCAGGGCCACGTGGTGGGGGGGGGGGGGGGGCGCCTGTAGTCCCAGGAGACCAGGCAGGAGAATCGCTTGAACCTGGGAGGTGGAGATTGCAGTGAGCCGAGATCATGCCACTGCACTCCAGCCCGGGCAGCAGAGGGAGATTCCATCTCAAAAAAAAAAAAAAGAAAGAAAGAAAAAAAAGAAAAAAGAAAGAAAAAAAGTAGCTCAGGGCCGAAGTAGAGTGGGAGAAGGGCCCAAGGGCAGGGGTGGCCTTGGGGTCAGGAGGCAGGACTTTCATCGTACTGCAAGCAGGGCCAGAGAGGCAGTCTATCCACGTGCCTCCATCTGTGTGTACTCCTGTCTCGGTCTCCAGCACGAAGCAGGTGCTTGGCCATCATTTTGGGGAAACTACTGCCCATGGGGGCCTCCTAGGTTCCCAGCCAAGGTGTCTGAGCAGCTGTTTGCTTTGTGCTCTCGGCTCTATAGGCCAAGCAGGCTAAATCCACTTGAACTACAGTAATTCCTTCCTCCTGTGCTGGCTGGACACCTCACTGTGACACAGCACACCCTGCGGTCTCCTTTGGACTAGGCAAAGAAGGGTCCAGATCACCGCACAGGACCTTGTTCATTTAGGTGACAATGATCTCTTGAGGGTCTACAAAGGAAGAACTGGGAAGGCAGTATCTGGGGAGAACGTGAGCCTTAAACACAAACGACACCCATGATTTCCTTCATTACTAGGTGAGACGTGCCCCACAGAACAAGGACAGGGTGCAAGGAGAGCTGACAACTGGGGCGAACCACACTGCAAGCACTGAGCTAGTCTGATGGGGGAGGGCGGTGGGCAAGTGGGCTCTGTGATGGCAGCGCAAGAGGGAAGACCCGGCCCCCACTCTCATTCTTAGCTGCATCCTGGCAAACTCAGGCCATAGTCCAGAGGCCCCTTTCCTCCATCCTACTGAGCAGCCAGTGGGGTTGGAGGGGGCATGAGATGTGGCCCCTGCCCCAAGACAGAGACAATAACACAAACATCTTCACACCACAGGGGGCCCTAAATTTTTGATCAAGCACTTTGACCACTAAGTAAATTTTGAGTGCCTTCCTGTAAGTAGTAGGTGAATAGTGGCCCTCAAAAAGATATGTTCATGTCCCAACCTTTGGTACCTGTGAATACAACCTTGTGTACAATAAGGGTCTTTGGCCGGGCACGGTGGCTCACACCTGTAATCCCAGCACTTTGAGAGGCCGAGGTGGGTGGATCACCTGAAGTCAGGAGTTTGAGACCAGCCTGATCAATATGGTGAAACCCTGTCTCTACTAAAAATACAAAAAAATTAGCCAGGCATGGTGGCATGCACCTGCAGTCTCAGCTACTAGGAAGGCTGAGACAGGAGAATTGCTTGAACCTGGGAGTTGGAGGTTGCAGTGAGCCGAGATTGCACCACCGCACTCCAGCTTGGGTGACAGAGCGAGACTCCGTTTCAAAAACAAACAAACAAACAAACAAAAATAAGGGTCTTTACAAAGGTAATTGACTTAGAGATCTCAAGATGAAAGCATCCTGGATTTAGGGTGACCCTAAATACAATGACTGTGTCCTTATCAGAAGAAGAAAGGACGCAGAGGCCAGGTGCAGTGGCTCACACCTGTAATCCCAGCACCTTGGGAGGCTGAGGCGGGTGGATCACCTGAGATCAGGAGTTTGAGACAAGCCTGACCAATATGGTGAAACCCCATCTCTACCAAAAATACAAAAATTAGCTGGGCATAATGACATGTGCCTGTAATCCCAGTTACTCGAGAGGCTGAGACAGGAGAATTGGTTGAACCGAGGAGATGGAGGTTGCAGTGAGCCGAGATCATGACACTACACTCCAGCCTGGGCAACAGAGTGAGACTCCATCTCAAAAAGGAAAAAAAAAGAAGGAGAAGAAGAGACACAGACACAGAGACACACAGGGACGAGGCCATGAGAGACAGAAGCAGAGACTGTAGGGGTGCGGCCATGCACCGGGGCACACTGAGGGGTGCCAGCAGCCCCTAGAAGCTGGGAGAAGCCTGGAAAAGATATGCCCTCAGAGCCTCCGGAAGGAACCCACCCTGCGGACACCTTGACTTCAGACTTCCAGCCTCCAGAACTGGGAGGATAAATCTCTGTTGTTTAAGCTACTCAGTCTGTGGTCATTTATTACGGCAGCCCCAGGGAATGAACACACTGTTTGTTTATTTGTTTGTTTGTTTGTTTTTTAGACAATGTCTTGCTCTGTTGCCCAGGTTGGGTGCGGTGGCACAATCATGGCTCACTGCAGCCTCGACTTTCCAGGCTCCAGCGATCCTCCCACCTCAGCCTTCCAAGTAGCTGAGACTACAGGCGTGCACCACCATGCCTGGCTTGTTTTTGCATTTTTTTGTAGAGACGATGTCTCACCATGTTGCCCAGGCTGGTCTTGAACTCCTGAGCTCAAGCAATCCTCCCACCTTAGCCTCCCATAGTGCTGGGATTACAGGCGTGAACCACCGTGCCTGGCCAGGAAATGAACACACTCTCATACAAATTTATGCATTTCTACATTGAGTAGTCCATGGTAATATCCTATGTACACTATGAAACCACAAAGCAGTTGGCAGAAAGCAAGAGGTGCATGGGGCAAGGGGAAGATACAAGTAAACTTCAGAGTTGTCCTGGGTACCTAGGGGCCGAATGGTGGTGACGCAGCCATCAGGAGCAACAGGAGGATGGTTGGTCCCAGCATGTTTTATTTCTTAAGTGGACGGTGGTGCGTGGGTGTCCACGTTATGTGATCATTATTTTCATCTTGCAAAACACCACCTCTGTTGTTGGCAAATGAATGAAATCGTTCATAATAAAAGGTTTTTAAAAAGGGCACAAGATTTGAGTCCAGGCATTGAGCTCACTGTCTGCCTGTGCTGGCCTATGGCTGAGGCAGGTCTCCAAAGTTCTCCAAGCCTCAGTTTCCTCAATGAGCAAGCAGGGCCCGTGATGGTGCCTCCTTTCAGCACTGGAGAAATCAGTACCCAGGCAGGTGGGCACATGTGATCAGTCCGTGAGCATCCAAGCACGTAGCTGGTCTCTATAGCAGCTCAGTTCCTTTCCATTAAGAGAGAAGAATGGCTCTTTTGGCCATATAACCTGATACCTTCTTATGACATGGCTTATACCTTTGTGTAAATAACTTAAACCCAGAAGGGGCTGGAATCCTCATAATGCTGCTGTCTCCATCCCTGTGGGTGGCTGAAAAACAGATTCTCTTAGCCCCTGGCCTGTTTCTTTGCCCCTGGCCTATTTCTCACTCTAATATGAACACCAGGAACTGATAGGTGAGAAGTGCTCTCACTGCTCCCAGACACTGGATGCTTTTCTTGCTGTGTTTTCTGTGAATATTTCCAAATAATTGGCCAGCGTCTGCAGGATGGCAGAGGCAGCTGTGAGGAGGCCCTCAGCCTTAGTTCATCAAGCCACCCCGGCATCAAGAACACCTCCCTACGGCACTGCTCCCCAACTTCCAACACACCTGGGGTAAAGTCTACAGTTCACTCCACTCTTACTGGCCTTCTCTGTGGCCCTCAGATCTGCCACACTGGTTCCTGCCCCAGGGCCCTTGTACTCATTTCTCTCCCTGCCCAGGACACTCTGAGCCAGCCCTTCACGAGGCTGACATCCTGCAGCCACTCAGCTCTTGGGCCATGAAGTCACCTCTTCCAGGAGGTCATCCTGCCAAGGAGCCCTGTCCTCTGGCTTGGCACTGTTTCTGCTCCCTGCACTGTTTGCTCACTGCTGGCCTCGGTCCCTCTTGGGGAGGGAAGCCAGGAGCCTCAGGCATGAGGAGATGAGCCTGGCTCTGGGAGGGGAAGGAGAGGAAAATGACCAGGCCACCTGCCGATTCAACCGTGGCAAACCTGTGCTGTTTTGTAATACCAGGTGCTGAGGACACAGGGTGGGCAACGAGACACAGGTTCTGCCCTGCAGGAAGCTAAATTCCATGGTGAAAAAAACAGAAGGCAGGGGGCACGGTGTTCTGGCAGCATGGGGGAAGTAGGGAGGTTTTCTTGGAAGCAGCGACTTTGAAGGTGAAACAGCAAGGATGAGTAAGAGCTTGTCATGTGAGCAGAGTGGGGAGAGGGCCCCTGGCAGAGGACAAGCAAGCATGAAAGCCGGCAGGCACACGGTGTCCACTGAGGCTGGGGTCTCATACAATTTGGCTCTGGGTCCCTACCAAAATCTCGTGTCAAATTGTAATCCCCATGGGTCAAGGGAGGGACCTGGTGGGAAGTGATTGGATCATGGGGTGGATTTCCCCCTTGCTGTTCTCATGATAGTGCATGAGTTCTCACGAGATCTGATGGTTTGCAAGTGTGTGGCACTTCCCCCTTTGCCCTCTCTCTCTCCTGCCACCTTGCAAAGATGTGCCTGCTTCCCCTTCACCTTCCACCATGACTGTAAGTTTCCTGAGGCCTCTCAGTCATGCTTCCTGTTAAGCCTGTGGAACTGTGAGTCATTTAAACCTCTTTCCTTCATAAATTACCCAGTCTCAGGTAGTTGTTTACAGCAGTGTGAGATCGGCCTAATACAGGGTCCCTTCCCTTCTTCTTCTTTTTTTTTTTTTCTTTTTTTTTTGAGATGGGGTCTTGCTCTATTGCCAGGCTGGAGTGCCATGGTGCAATCGCAGCTCACTGCAACCTCCGCCTCCTGGTTCAAGCAGTTCTCCTCCCTCAGCCTCCCTAGTAGCTGGGATTACAGACATGCACCACCACATCCAGCTCATTTTTGTATTTTTTGTAGAGATGAGGTTTCACCATTTTGGCCAGGCTGGTCTCAAACTCCTGACCTCAAGTGATCCACCCCCCTCAGCCTCCCAAAGTGCTAGGATTACAGGTGTGAGCCACTGCACCTGGCATGGGTCCCTTACCTTCTTCCCAAAGATCTGGGGTGGAGAAGCGCTCAGATTTACTCTACCTCAGGTGCAAGAAGTTTTGCAAGAGGGAGTAAGGACATCCCTTTGTCCCATCCCTTTCTCTTTGGTCCCATCCCTTTCTCTTTGGGAGCAGCCTGTGGTCTCCAGGACACCCAGAGAACAGCAGAGAAGAGCCCCCTGGCCGGGCTTGCACGGCAGCTGCCCCCTCAGCATGGACAGAAGGCTCCCCTCCTTCCCCAGCTTTCCCACGGGCCGCAGGCAGGTTCTTCCCCACCCCAGCTGTGTGAGCTCAGGCTCCGGGGGTGGTGTGGGGGAAGATGCAGACACTGGAGGCTCCCACCCACTGGCCAGGCAGGAACTTGCCTAGGGATAATAGGCTTTAGTCACTCATGAGAAAGATAACGACGACCTCTAATAACAACTGAAAAAATAAACCAGAAAACCTCACCACTATGGGGCAGCTGAGCCAGGAAGGGCCAGGCGTGGTCCCTCTGGGGCTTTCAGCTGAAAGAAACACACCTGAGACATGAAAGGTGAGGTGAGAAAGTGGTGGGCAGCTGCAAGTGACCTGTGGGGTCAAAGTCTCCAGTCTGCAGGGGCTCTGTGAGGAGAATGGTCACGCTTAGGTTGGAAGCCCCCTGCTCTGGGCCTGCACCTGCCCTTCTGATGACACACAGTGCTCAGGGCCAATGTCTGCTCTTTATCCCAGGAAGTAAAGAACAGCGCGTGTAGCCAGGCCCCAAGTGAGGTCAGACCCAGAAGAACTCCAGGGAGCTCCAGGAGCACATCCACAGGTTCACCTGAGATCTGCTGATGACCTTGGAGCCCATTCAATGGTCAGTGTGAAGCCATGCGCTCTGCAAGGCACTGCGCTCTCCGGAGCCAAATCACCGAGTCTGGATCCTGGCTCCCTCACTTCCTGTGCCACTTGACCTCTCTGTGCCTTGGTTTCCTCATCTGCTATGTTGAGTAACAATAGTACTCTTGTAGTATTTTAGTACTATAGTACTCTCCTACTACTAGAGGTTAGGGTTAGGGTTCAATGAGCAAATCCATGCATGTGAAGTCATGCAAAAAGGGTCAATAGTTGCAGCTGAAATTGGCACCTTCCTATCCTATAAGGAACCCTCTCTCAGCACAGGTGGTGGCCGCCCTGGGGCAGACGTGCTGGGGCTGTGAGTGCTGATGCTCACAGGAGGCCATGGGTCCCGCAGGGGTCTGGGAGAGTTACAGGGAACAAAATCTAATCTAGCCCCTAATCTGGAGGGGCTTACAGCCCGACGGAAGAACTGACAACAGCAAGATAAATATGTAAGAAGAGCCACTTATTCCACTTGCCTTCAGGCGGCCTATGAGGGCAGGGCACCGTGGCTCACATCTGTAATCCCAACACTTTGGGAGGCTGAGGCGGGTGGATCACTTGAGGCCAGGAGTTTGAGACCAGCCTGGCCAACATAATGAAACCCTGTCTCTAGTGAAAATACAAAAATTAGCCGGGTGTGGTGGTGCACCCCTGTAGTCCCAGCTACCCAGGAGGCTGGGGCATAAGAATTGCTTAAACCCAAAAGGCAGAGGTTGCAGTGAGCCAAGATGGCACCACTGCACTCCAGTCTGGGTGACAGAGCGAGATTCTGTCTCAAAAAACAAACAAATAAAAAAGAGGTCTATGAGGCCAGGGTCTGAAATGTAAAAACAAAATTCCATGCAGTCTGGGTTTTCCCCAAGCGGTCTCCTGACACTGCTCTTGCCAAAGTCTCCGGCCAGCTCATCGTGGAATCCAGAGGCTGCATGCGGCTCAGCCCTTCTCTACTTGACACCCCACAGCACTTGACCCTGTAGAGCCACGCCCTCCTCCCTTCCAGACTGTGACTAAGCCCCCTGGTTCTTTTCTAGGGCCCCTTCCCCTCCTTCCCTCTCCTCCTCCTCCATCTGCTCTCCCTGGCTAGTTGCAGCCATTCCTGCTGTCTCAGTCACCATTTAGATGCTGCTGACCGTATACTGAGTTGGATAATGTGCCCCCCAAATTTGGTGTCCACCAGGAACCTCAGAACGTGAGCTTATTTGGAAACAGGGTCTTTGCTGATGTAATTAGTTAAATTAAGATGAGGTCACAGTGCAGGAAGGTATGCCCTAAACCTAATGACTGGTGTCCTTATAAGAGGGCCATGTGAACTACAAGAGGAAAGGTGGCCATGTGCCAAAACGGAGGCAGAGATTGGAGCGCAGCGTCGCCAATGACTGCCGAAAACCACGAGGAGCTAGAAGAGACAAGGAAGGATTCTTCCCTTGAGCCCTTGGGAAAAGCAGGATTCTGCTGACACATTGATTTTGGACTTCCAGCCTCCAGAGCTAAGAGAAAGCACATTTCTGTTGCTTTAAGCCACCCCATCTCTGGTCATTTGTTTGGCAGCCCCAGGAAGCTAACACAGCCCTCACTGTATCTCGCTACCATCTCCTGAGCTTCCCACCTGACAGCCAGACAATTCCTCACACTCGGCCCTTCCAAAACCCACTCTCCCCTGAGATCTGTTCCCTCTCCA